>NC_000022.11:29012594-29164109 GCF_000001405.40 Homo sapiens
AAAACAAAGACATACCTTTCAGCATCCTTTACACTGGTAGGTGTAGGAAGGGCCCCCATCGAGGGCCGTTAACTTACTTGTTAAATTCGCAGCTTACTACAGGATGCTTGTGTCTAAGTGATTTCAACTTCTGAAGGGGAATTACACATTTTTTAGTCTTAACATAGGAAGGATGCTTCTCCCTAACCACGACTCCATGCTGAGTCTCAGGCTGGGCTCTGTCCAGATAGAATCATCTTTAATATTTACAACTCTGTGATCTGGTTGGTACCCTGCTTTAAAGATGAATACATTGAGACTCAGGGGAAGGGGCTAAGCTACAGACATCAGCCATGGCTCCGTCCCAGGTTAGCTCCAGACCTCCTGCTCTTCTCATCAGTTCTGTCCTTTGAGTTACTTAAGCGTATAGATGGTAGTTGATACAGTTCTGCATAACAGACTGATAGGTTCCTGACCAACAGTCTGCTCCTACCCCCTCTTTTTTGGGAAGCCGAGTGCTGTTGAAGAGCCACCCATTCCTGGTTGCCACATGGTAGACAAATATGTCTGCTGCATTTACTTCCCAGAAGTCCTCAGCTTGCTCATGCTGTCTAAAGTTAGCTTTCAGGGAATCCCAAGATGTTTCTTTTTCAGCTCTCTGCTTGTGGTCAGGCTGCTTCAACTTGGAGAAAAACGGCCCATTCTGTTAGCTGTCGGGCAAAATGATGACTGTGAAGAGTATCCCTTCCATGCTAGTAACTTCCCCTGTTCCAACTTCTCAGTTTAATTTTCAGTGAAGCTTCTAGAAACCACTTAAAGTCATTGGGAAACAGGTACATCAAGGACTAAAAAGAAAACTGGTTTTGTAGATGCAACATTGATCCCTCTAAAAAGATAAGGCAAGACGACACCTTGCCCTTTTGTCTTTGATTTTATTCCTTGGCTCCTTGGAACATGTGCTGATTAAATGGCAAAATATGATGGCAATTTTTACCCTTTGTTATTATTGAAAATCTTTGCCAAGTTACAGTTACAGCTAATTTAAAGCTGTATCCAACCAAAATGGTGTTAAGAGAGGGTCCCTGATAATTTGGATGTCAACTTGCACTTGTACCTAATGAACAGCTTGACTCATTCCTGGCTAAATTTATGACAGTGGCTTTGGAAGGGGACTCAGATATCAAGAACCAGATTCTATCACAGATTTTTAGATTACTTGTATAGGCCATAAAAGCGTGATGATATGGAGTAAATTGAATAATACTGGATTTTTGGCATTGCTGCTTCATTAGCATGAGGCACTGGATGGGGCAGGCGTGGAGGCCTGGTTAGGCTGGGCGCAATGCTCTAACATAAGCAACCATGGGCCTCACAGAATATTGGTGGTAGCCTTTCCCAGGATGGTCTTGCATTGCTAATAATGCTAAAAATGTCTGTGTTCAGAGAAAAACATTATGAAAGTCTTAATAGTCTCAATATTATCCCCTAAATAGCTTTTCCCTGGATTTTTTTCATCTGTCCTGGTCGTTTCTGTGTCATTGCTGTAAAGTCACACAGCCAAAGTCACACAGCCATTCCGAGTATTGCAGTGACAACAGCAAGGATCCCAGCCAAAATCTTGTCCTCAGGAAGAGCTGAGACATGTTACTCTAATTATCACTGATGGTTTTATTGCTTTGGGGTCATGTCTCACCCCTTACCCCCTCACTTAGTGGCATATTTGATGTTGTTCAGTCATCTGAAGTCACTCATTTATCCCCTGAATGTCCCCACTGGTTCCCCCAGTGGCAGCAGTCCCCCGGCCTGCAGGAGTTGTAGTGCAGGCTTGGGTGATGTGATTCCTGATGTAGGTGAGACCCCTGAACCAAGAGCAGTTCAGCAGCTGCAGCTGCTCAGAAGCTAGGCTTACACACCATCTCCCTGCCGCTCCGTGTTTGACAGAAAGCAGAGATGCTTCAGCCTCCTAGCTGCACTTAAAGGTAGCCTGGATGCAGTGAGCTTGACTAAGTATCTCCCTTTTGTAGCTCAGTGTAAAATACAGACTCTGTTTTTGGAATTCATTCATATGTTTATTAAGCACTGCCTGTATCCCAGGCAGTGTGCTAGACGCTGCAGATACAGTACTTATTAAAGTAGACAAGTTCACTGCCCCCATGGGGCTCCTGGTCAGTAGAGGAGACACAGAGACAACTAGCAGCAAGTAAACACAAAGACAACAAACAGGGCAACTGCAGATTGTGATGCAGCTGCAAGGCCAACAAACTGGGTGAGTGGGGCTTTTCTCTGCATAGGCTGCCTCGAGCCAAGAGCTCAGAGTCAAGGTTCCTGAAAGAAGAGAGGGAAAGATTCCCACAGCCCACTCCCCACATCAGAGCTTGCCTGCCTCCGCTCCGTCATCTGTTCTTTGACACATCTGCAACCTGGGGTGTGCTCTGATGCTTCCTGTCATTCTGTCACTTTCTAACCCATCAAACAGCACTTTGCTACCATATAAGTATTAGTATCTGCCTCCTGTCTGCTAAGAAATAAAATGAAGGCACTCAAGTCTTACAGAAAGTTAGCTCCTTTATTTTAGGTATCTCGTTAAATATTCTCTACTTGATTATTATGTGACAGTTGCTTTTAAATCCTCTGAAAGTTGCATAATATGCTATGTGATACGAAAGGATGTATATATAAAACCTTTATTTTTCTAATAATTGCCTATAACTTACCAGTTTGAATTGTTTTAACGCTTATTGTAGCCTAAGAAGTCCAAAGTTTAATTGAAATCCAGTTTTGTTTTTTGGCTTTGGGTTAATATTCTTCCTTCCAGGCTGGGCACGGTGGCTCATGCCTATAATCCCAACACTTTGGGAGGCCAAGGTGGGCAGATCACCTGAGGTCAGGAGTTCAAGACCAGCCTGGCCAACATGGCGAAACCCTGTCTCTACTAAAAATACAAAAATTACCCAGGCATGGTGGTGCACGCCTGTAGTCCCAGCTACTCAGGAGGCTGAGGTGGGAGGATCACTTGAACCTGGGAGGCAGAGGTTCCAGTGAGCTGAGACTGCACCACTGCACTCCCGCCTGGGTGACAGAGTGAGATTCTGTTTAAAAAAAAAAAAAAAAAAATCCTTCCAGACTTCTTTCCCTCTCCCGTGGTTTTAGGAAGGGAAGGACAGCTGGGCATGATGGCTTAACCCTGTAATCCCAGCAGTTTGGGAGGCCGAGGCGGGTGGATCACCTGAGGTCTGGAGTTCGAGAGCAGCCTGACCAACATGGTGAAACCCCGTCTCTACTAAAATATAAAATTAGCTGGGCGTGGTGGCACATGCCTGTAATCCCAGCTACTCAGGAGGCTGAGGAAGGAGAATCGCTTGAACCCAGGAGGCTGAGGTTGCGGTGAGCCAAGATCACGCCATTGCACTCCAGCCTGGGCAACAAGAGTGAAACTGTCTCAAAAAAAAAAAAAAACAAAAAAACTGAAACTGGCTTGGCTGATGAAAGTTGTATCTTATACTGTGAACTGAATAATGTTGCAAGAGATTAAGTGATCATTACTAAATGATGCCCCTGGTACTAGTGAAGGTTGTTGTCATAGTTCATGCAGACCTGCACAGTGTATCGACCTCATGTTCACATGAAGATCTAGATACCTGATCAACGAAGTGTCCACTCAGCCCCTGTCAGGTGCATTCTGGGAGGTGAAGTGGTATGTGACTGCCTTGAAGGAAGGTGAAAGCCTAGAGACAGATTGTAATGGTTTAGAACTTTCTCTTTAGAAAATAGTGAATAAGGAAACAAGGCTTTGCTGGGGCAGGGGGTGGGAGCTCTGGCAAATAAGAGGTTCTTCTAGAACCCACTTCCTTTGTTCTACTAAGTAAAGTCTTGCTAACGCTGAATAATTATAGTCAAGAAAGCCTGAATGAGGCCATCCTTTTACTTGTTCAATAAAGGTTAATTTAAGGACCCAATGGGACTTGAGATAGAGCTTGAATTTAGGGATTTTTGCAAATTACCTGTTAAAGCCATGAAAACAGAAGTGTATTTGTTCCTTAATATGTGCATGACCTCTTACTATTTAAGAGTGATTACTGATTAACCAGGGAGTTTCAAAGGAGATGTTTTCATATTCAGATTTAAAGAAGTTGCTCCAGCTCAGAGAACTGGCTTCTGTTGGAGTGAGCTATGAACAGAGTAGGGCTGCTCTATCTCAGAGCATTGTTCATTCACCTGGAGAAACTTCCTTCCTGTGTCAAGCACCTGTAGCATGCTAGGGGTTGTGCCTGCCCAGTGGTGCACTAAAGCCACCTCTGCAATGTTTTCATCCAAGAAACATGAAGTAGGAAGGAAAAGTAACACTTGCCTAGAAAGGAAAGTTGTCTGCTCCCTATATTCTCTATGAAATTGAGACAGCTATTCTTTGCCCCCACAAATGGCCTTTAGGACAGAACCATTGAGTGTCAAAGACAGGCCCAGCCTCTGGAGTATACTTGTCTATTTCCATTTCCAAAGGTGAGATGTTTTCCAGGCAGAGCTCTGTCAGTTTTATGAAAGCCAAAAATGCATTAGCCACACAGGGTACACTTGTGCAGTATTTTAAGTGTAACTTGGTTGCCAACACTTGAATTGGAAGGTTTAATATAAAAATCCACATTTCTACCTTCTCTTGAAAAATCAGAAGGTCTGGCAGTGCTGGTGTCCCATTTCTCCTGGTAAAGGAAGCCCCAGCTGCCTAGAAGTTGCCCCCATCAGGCAGGTGTACACTGTCCAGTCTGCCACGGCGCCTGCCACTCTCTGCTGTCCTCACACTGCAGCAGCACATCCATTGCCGTAAATCTTAAGTGTGGCCCCTGTGGACAATTGAGTTTGCAATCTGTGTTGTGTGATTTTTAAATTGCAGGGAGGAAGATCATCCAGGCTGTCTGTGGAAAGTTGAGCAAATCAAGTGTGAACGCAGACCAATAATTTCTGACAGTCAAACCATAAATATGAAGAGGGACCACAGAGAAGCTGGATTAGCAGACTTGTATACTCTGATTTTGTCAAGCACTGGAAGACCAATTTAGGGTGACCATATCATTTGTCATCCAAGCTGAGACGCTTTTGAGAATGGAAGGGGTTATGGTGGGAGGAGAAATGTAAACTGGGGCTGTCCTGGGCATGCTAGGACAGAAACTGTGGACACCCTAGGCCTGTGAATGGGACATGGAAACAGAAAGCTTATATCCGTCAACCAGGATGAGTGCAGAAAAGACTCATAAGAGGAGCTCACATAGAGGCTACGCTGGTATAGAAATTGTTCTAGAAAAATTGGGCAAGATTTTGCAGAGAAAGGAGGCTTTTAGATGTGTCCTTAAGCATTGAAGCGCTTTGAGAGGTAATCAAGGGTCCAGGACAGCAGTTGAGGTAACATGAATAACCTATGCAACAGCTGGAAGATGTGCGTATGCCTTAACTTTTCAGAAATGGGGGAACTGTGTGGGTGGAGCATCTGGTGCTTGGAGGGCAGATAGTGTGGGAGGGGAGGGCGGACGGGCAGACCGGATCCAAACTGGATCCAAAGGAGAGTCTTGAACATTATAAGGAATTGAGACTTGAATCTGAGAAGGATGAGAAGACAGCTCAGGGCATCATGTATGGAATGAACTGGAAAAAGATTGGAGACAGAGAAACTGCTGCATTACAGGGTAGCAGGGATGCAAAGGGAGAGCCCACTTGAAAATGATTCTTTATGGAGATTGGATGTGGAGAGAGGAAGGGGAAGGGGTAGTGAGAGAAGAGGAGGAAGATTTGGGTTTCTAGATTTGTATGATGGTGATTCCCTTAACCTGAGACAAGTAATGTAGGTTTGGGAGAAACTTGGTGACTTTGACTTTGATCAGGACTAGAGCCCTGACTCTGACTTTGAACTGGAGCCCTTTGAACTCTAGCCCTGAAAAGGGTCAGGGCTAGAGATGAAGGTTGAGAAGTCATTAGATAGGGGAGTGTGTATTCAAACCAGGAGTCCAGAATGAGCTTGTCCAGAAAAGAGTATAGACTAGGAAGAGAGAAGGGGTACAGCATAGGACTTAAAGGAAAACAAGTAAGTGAGTTGGGACCATGTAAGAGTCAGTGAAGGGAACCCGAAGACCTCAGAGAGAAGAAAACAGAAATAGGCTGAGGAGCACAAAGCAATGTAAACAGGTTGGTAGAGTAGCAATAGTACAGATGACAACACGGGTGAGGTAGCATGGCCCTGTGCATTCATTTAGCACAGGTGTATCAGTTAGCTTTTGCTGCATAACAAACTGCCCTTAAAACATAGCACCCTAAAAACAACAGTCATTTTCATTGCTCATGATTCTGTGGGTTAGCTGAGCAGTTGTTCTGGTCTGTGCCAGCTTGGCTGATCTCTGTGGTCAGCTAGTGGTTCCTCTGGGACTGAGTGATCTAGGATGGCCTCACTCAAGTGTTTGGGGCCTCACCTGGGATAGCCATGCCCTCTCAACATGTGGTCTCTTATCATCCAGTAGACTAGCCCAGGCTTCTTACATGATAGTTCTCAGGGTTCCCAGCCGCAAGAGAGGGCAAGCATGAACACCCATGAACTATTCGATCCCCTCAAGCATTTTCCAAGCTTCTGCTGGCATTGTATTTGCTCATGTCCCATTGACCAAAGCAACTCATGTGGCCAAGCCCAAATTCAAGGGGTGGAAAAATAAGCTCAATTTCTTGATGGGAGGAATCATAAAATATTGTGGCCATTTTCTTTACTCTAAGAGGTGTGAATGTCTTGTAACACTTGGCAGGAGATATTTGATTCTTTGTGTCAATCATGTATCTTCCTTCTAGTTGAGCTAGTAAAGATTGAAGATTACAACAGAACAACTTAAATTCTGAAGACCCATTTAATTGTGATTATTTTAATTCTGTTCCCATATGAAAGCTGAAGGTAGTACAGGGAAAAACAGTACCACTTGCATTCATGACATGAAGCTAAAGCGATTACTAAAGAAATTGATAATACCCAGTTCAAAACTCAAACACAGGTCCCCTCTGTCAAAGCAGTACTGTCTGATTTGCAGCAATTAACATCTTAGTGCCATGTTATTTAAGACTAGATCAATGATTAGCAATCATTAATTGGCACCTACCATGTACCCAAACTACACCAAGCACTTTACACCCATGAACTATTTAATCCTCTCAACAACCCTATAAAGTACAATCACTGTCTTAGTTCTACAGATGAGGAAACTAGGGATCAAATATTAAGTGTCTTGCCCGAGGATATCAGTAAGTGTGATAGAACCAGAAATAGGAAATAGGGATTTCCCTCAGGCCACTGGGCTCCCCTGACTGTAGGCAGCATTAGCAAGTATGCACCCCACCCCACCCCCATCTTGATTATCCTTATCTTGATGAAATATAGTTGTCCCCTCACATTTGTGGGAAATTGGTTGCAAGACCTCCCCCCCAATCCCCCCATGGATACCAAAAGCCACAGATGCTCAAGTACCTTATATAAAATGGCGGTAGTATTTGCATATAACCTATGCACATCCTCCCGTATACTTTAAATCATCTCTGATTACTTTATGATACCTAATACAATGTAAGTACTATGTATTAATAAATAGTTGTTATAATGCATGGTTCAGGGAATAAATGACAAGGAAAAAAAGTCATGTTCAGTACAGACACAACCATCCTTTTTTTTTTTTTTTTTTTTTTTTCCCCCAAGACAGAGTTTTGCTTTGTCACCCAGGCTGGAGTGCAGTGGCATAATCTCGGCTCACTGCAACTTCTGCCTCCTGGGTTCAAGCAATTCTTGTGCCTCAGCCTCCTGAGTAGCTGGGACTACAGGTGCATGCCACCATGCCCAGCTGATTTTTTGTATTTTAGTACAGACGGGCTTTCACCATGCTGCCCAGGCTGGTCTTAAACTCCTAGACTCAGGCAATCCATCCGCCTCGGACTCCCAAAGTGGTAGGATTACAGGTGTGAGCCACCGTGCCTGGCCGCAACCATCCTTTTTCTTTTCCGAGTATTTTTCATCCGTGGTTGGTTGAATGCACGGATGTGAAACCCACTGATAAGGAGGGCCGACTGTATACTCACATCTACTGACCTGGGGTCTGCCTGCCTCCCAGAGTCCAGGTGGGCTCTGTTCTGCTGGTCTAACTTACCCATTCATCCAGATTTCATTGAGAGGGGCTTTGTTTTTGTGTGTGTGTGGGTGTGTGTGTGTGTGTGTGTGTGTGTGTGTGTGTGTTTGAGACAGAGTCTCGCTCTGTTGCCCAGGCTGGAGTGCAGTGGGGCGATCTTGGCTCACTGCAAGCTCCACTTCCTGGGTTTACGCCATTCTCCTGCCTCAGCCTCCTGAGTAGCTAGGATTACAGGCACCCACCACCACGCCTGGCTGATTTTTTGTATTTTTAGTAGAGATGGGGTTTCACCGTGTTAGCCAGGATGGTCTCTATCTCTTGAGCTTGTGATCCGCCCACCTCGGCCTTCCAAAGTGCTGGGATTACAGGCGTGAGCCACTGCACTCGGCCTGTTTTAAAAATACTGTAATCCCGGCTACTCAGAAGGCTGAGGGAGGAGAATCACTTGAACCCAGGAGGCGGAGGTTGCAATGAGCCAAGGTTGTGCCATCGCACTCCAGCTGGGGAAACGAGCGAAACTCTGTCTCAAAAAAAATAAATAAATAAATAAATAAAAATAAAATAAAATACTGAGCCAGTTTTAGTAGATAGCAGAAGGAGGTATTATGTTGCTCGATCTGCATAATTTTTAAAACTGGCTTTGGAATTTTCCTATATTAACTAAAATTAAATGCATTCACATGGTGAAAGGTTGTCTGTGTCAAAATAGTTTTGCTTTGAAGTAATAAGAGGCAATAATGGAAAAAGAATAGTTGCAGATTCTCCCCTCACTCCTTGTTTTAATCTTTTTTTTTTTTTTGGAGACAGAGTCTCGTTCTGTCCCCCAGGCTGGAGTGCAGTGGCGAGATCTCGGCTCACTGCAACCTCCGCCTCCCAGGTTCTAGAGATTCTTCTACCTCAGCCTCCCAAGTAGCTGGGATTACAGGCACGCGCCACCATGCCCGGCTAATTTTTGTATATTTAGTAGAGGCGGGGTTTCACCATGTTGGCTAGGCTGGTCTCGAACTCCTGACCTCAAATGACCCACCCACCTCGACCTCCCAAAGTGCTGGGATTACAGGCGTAAGCCACCGTGCCCGGCCTTGTTTTAATCTTTATTGAAGTATAATAGACATGTGATAAACAGCACATATTTAAAGTGCACAATTTGTTAAGGTTTGACCTATATGCACACACACATACACACACACACATGCACACACACACACCCATTAAACCATCACCACAATCAAGATGAACATATATGTCACTCCCCCCACATTCCCTCAATTCCCCTTTAAAATCCCTCCCTCCCTTTCCTGGCTTCCCTGCCAAACACCAGACAACTACTGATCTGCTTTCTCCTACTGTAGACAAGTTTGCATTTTATAGAATTTAACACGAATGGAATCATGCAGTATATACTGCTTATTCTGGCCTCTTTGACGCAGCATAATTATTTTGAGATACATTCATGTGGATTGTGTATAACAGTAGTTCATTTCTTTTTATTACTTTTTAAGAAAAGAGAACGCTGCTTTTTTTACTCTGAACTTGGGCCAGGATGATTGAAGTTACCTACGAATTGTACATTAACCAACTAATGGCAGTGAAGAGTTAATCTGTAACTTCATCTGTTAGCTGTTAACGTGACCCCCAAACCTAACCTCCTCTTGACTGTCAGATCCTGATCCCAGACACACTTTCTCTAAAGGCTAAAACTGAAGTAGGACTGGAGACTTGGGGAGCCTGGTATTTCTGAGTCTTGGTTGGTCCCTGCCCATCACTGGATCTTGGTGTAGCATGGTCTCATGATAGTGTGAGAACAGGGTTAGGTATGTGACTGTGTGACCAGCAGTACTCTGTTAAAAACCTTGACTTTAAATTACTTCATGAAGTTTCAGATGGGGGAAAAAGAACCCACAACCCTGACTTTTGTCAGCTGTCCGTCTTACAAGTCTGAGTTACGCAGATGTCCTAATCCTTTTAGAAGCAATCTCAGTAGGTTGGAGAATTTATTGTTGTTACAGATACTCACTTTAAAATGTATTAAGTGAACTCAATTGGTATATTTGAAAATACTTTAATTTACCCTTCTTTTCAAGATTCCATCTCCCTTATAAGCTACCATACACTTGCCTGCTAGCAGGTCCTTTATAGTCAACTTCCCTGTAACAAATGAGAGTTTTTTGGGTATAAATGTATGGGGTACAAGTATAATTTGGTTACATGGGTATATTGCATAGTGGAAAAGTCAGGGCTTTTAGTGTAGCCATTACCTGAATTATGTATATTGTACCCATTAAGTAATTTCTCATCGTCCACCCCCCTCCCACCTCCAACAAATTGGTTTTTAAAAAATTCTTTCCTTAAATGCTTGGCTTCAAATTTCCTGGTACAGGAATTCTGTAATTCTGATAAAAAATTGCTTGAAATAATACACAAAATGTCTATGTGTTTACTAATAGATCCTGATTAAAGTTATTATTGAGAAACTAACATTGGAGTCCTCTAAATTCTGATTTCCCAGAAAACAAAAAATCTTCAATATTATAAAACTTAATGGACTCTACAGAAGTCGGGGCAGGGTTGACAGGAAGCAGTTGGCTCTGATGGAACACCCTCCCCCGCTGCCAGCACACTCTGACCTCAGGAAAGTCATGCCTCCTTTGCAAATCTTGGACATGGGACTAGGTGTGCTTTCATCCCACTCCAGGACTGAGGGACACTTGATTCAGATAGACCATAGTCAAGGTCCATGTTGCCTAAGAGACCCTCTTTGTCCCCCAGCATGAGGACTGCAGTGACTTTCAAGTGGCTCCCAGGAGTGGAGAAGCAGGCTGCTTCCCTTGCATGGGATCCATTAACTCCCAGGCATGGAGAAGCAGGCTCAGTTCCCTACGGTGGGCTATATTAGCTCCCACAAATGGAGAAGCAGGCTCAGTCTCTCCTTGGGTGTGCTGCATTGTCTCCCAGGAATAGAGAAGTAGGATCAGTCATTTATTCCATGTGGGGCTGTCTGGCCAGAACTCTTCCCTCCAAAGGGAGTGGTTTGTGGTCCCTCTTCTGGATTTGGCTCATCAGTCTTTCCAAATGTCCCAGCCACCTGGTAGGTATGCAGTTTGATTTGTTTAGCCCCCAAATGCCAGCCAGTTCCCCATGCCTGCCTGATAGCTGGGTGCCTCTTGAGCCAATGTCGGCATATTCTACAATTACCTGCTTATTTGTGGGGGTTACATAGTGCTTGTAGTTATAGCTCTCTCCACTTACCCACAAACCAGACTGCCAAACTCCTGGATCATAAAACAAAGTGTAAGCACCCTGGATCATGACCCAGCTCTTTTCCTGTTCTTCTTTTGAGACTTTCCTAACAGGAAAGGCTCTGGGTAATTGATAGAGATTATCCCTGATTCCCTTAATGTAACCTTTTTACTCTTTCCTTTTCCTGGGATTAAGCTGTTCTTTTGCAAGAAGTCCTTTTCTTAATGACAGTCATTCACCTGTTATTGACCAAAGGAAGCGATCCGGCCCAACTCCACCTTTCTGTGGTTCAGTCTCTCGAGTCTCTTTCATTATAATGACTTTCAAAGGCATTAACTGTTTTTTTTTTTTTGCTTTCAATTTTCTGCACTGTTAAAGGCTGTCAAACTATACTTTAATCTGCCTTCCTGAAACAATAATTGCCCCTGTATTTGTTGGTGAATATGAGTGTTAATATTGAGTAGATGTTTTAATATTTGCTGAGGGTTCCCAGGCAGCGTGCGTTGCTACTGAGGTCTGCTGTTCACAAGATAACAAGTTGATATAAAGTGGAGACACATAGGCTCAGTCAGCAGTGCCTTTCTTCTTCTTGCAGTCCTGTGATATTTCTCTTCTTCAGGGCACTTACCTCTCACTGTGCATGTAGGGTCCCTAGTATAACTACTAGAACACCATGAGAAGAGGCACTAGATCTTTTAGGACTAGGTTCTTTTGGCATATGATTGTACCTTCATGGTATATGCTCAATAAGTATTTGTTAAATTAATGAATATTTTGTCTGGAAGCACATTGCCACAGGACTGGGCCTTGGTGTAGGGATTAGGGAACCCCTTCCAGAAAAAATAAAATTTCAGGTAGTGACCCAAAAATGTCAGTAAACCATAGTGACTGCTTGGATGCTGTGTTCCAGAAACTAAACTGTGGGCATGCCAGCTGCCACCAACAGAAAGGGTAATCACTAAATAGTTGTTAAGTTTATACAATGGCCATGTGAGTGGATAATAATACCCAACCATGCAACCCTGTGCTACTTTTTTTTTTTTTTTTTTTTTTGAAGACAGAATCTCGCTCTGTCGCCCAGGCTGGAGTGCAGTGGTGCCATCTTCGCTCACTACAACCTCCACATCCCAGGTTCAAGCAATTCTCCTGCCTCAGCCTCCTGAATAGCTGGGATTACAGGTGCCCACCACCACACCTGGCTAATTTTTGTATTTTTAGTAGAGACGGGGTTTCACCATGTTGGCCAGGCTGATCTCGAACTCCTGACCTCAAGTGATCCACCCGCCTCGGCCTCCCAAAGTGCTGGGATTACAGATGTGAGCCACCATACCCAGCCTCTATGCCACCTTTTGCTAACCTCTCCCCTATACTTGGTGTGTCTGCTGCCTCCACCAGCACCTTTGATATCCAGCTGCTGGCTGGCCTTCTCTTCCTCTTCATTCTGGCAGCTTGGCCTCCATGAAGTCTTTCCTGACCACACCAGCCTATGGCACACATCACCCCCATCCAGGATGCTCCATTGCAGAAGTGTATTGAGCATCCTTCAAAATAATCCCACCCAATTAAACTCTTAATCCATTTGTTTCCCTTGTTGGTCTAGTTCCATTTCTCTTTCTTTCTTTTTTTTTTTTGAGACGGAGTCTTGCTCTGTCACCCAGCCTGGAATACAAGCGCATGATCTAGGCTCACGGCAGCCTCCTGAGTACCTGGGATTACAGGTGCAGGCCAACATGCCCGGCTAATTTTTTGTATTTTTAGTAGAGACGGGGTTTCACCATATTGGCCAGGCTGGTCTCAAACTCCGGACCGCAGGTGATCTGCCTGCCTCAGCCTCCCAAAGTGCTGGGATTATAGGCATGAGCCACCGCGTCCAGCCTCTAGTTCCATTTCTTTAACCTAGTGGATTGCAAGCCCCTCACTGCTTTCCAGCCCGAAAGGGGCATTGATGGGATTGTGAACACAGGACAGAAAGTAGTATTAATGATTATTGTTACACCCCGGATGCGTGGTAGGGATGCTTGGGAGCACCTTTATTCTCCAGCTAGCATTAGCTGTCGGGCTGAGGAAGGCTAGCTTGATGACTCTGCCACTTTTCTCCTTCCCCCTCCATCATCAGCACCATTGTGATGACTATTTATTGAGTACCAGGACTGGAACGCATTTGGGAGAAATAAAAGCATAGATTTGACACAGCCTTCATTCTGTTAGCCTATGGAAAGGTGATTATAGCACTTGTTACTTGAATTAGACCCGAAAATATAGCACATTTTAGGGTCTAATTCAATATAGGACACTCTGCGTTTAACTTATGTTTTACAGCCTAACTCATGACTGCTATGGCCAATATCCCTTCTCCACACCCCCAGACCCCATCACTAAAATTCCTTCTAGTGGCAGAACCGTCACCACTTATCACAGATAAGTGGATATTAGTTGGGCAGTTGACATACAAGTTCTGTGACTTGGTTAGCTCAGTTCAGAGTATGTTTGAGGGCTTACTTCAAGAAAGCATGTGTTTCATTTTTTAAAAATAGGTCTTAAACCTGAAAATGGTGTCCTTGAGATTCTCATCGTTCTCTATTTTTATCCTGTTATCGCAGAAGACCCATCTGGAACTTGCATTCCATTGCTGTCTCCTACTCAAGGCAGAGGCTCCTATGCAAGACCCTGGGACTCCTGTGGCATGGAGGCCAAAGGCCTGGACCCAAAAGTCAGGAGGACTTCTGCCACAAACCCCAAAAGCTTGCCCCGTATAAATGGTTGCTCTTGTGCCCATGGCTGTGTCCACCCAGCATTTTTGTGCCTGCTGGGTTCCAGGTGCCATGCCAAGACCTGGTGACCAGAGGATGTCTGTGATCATTGTTGTTTGGAGGCTTTTGATTGTGAGGGACCCAGACTTCTGCTTTGGGGGTATCTTTCCCCAGACATCACAAAAAGCTCAATTGTTTATTGCCTCGAAGACACATTTTCTCTTCAACAAGCGCTTTCCTTAAGTCTGAGGTAGAGTAGCATAAGTGGGTTTCTTGAAAACCAGAAATGTAGCTGAGAAAGCAGTTGGGCCATTCTAGGAGGGAAAGAACAAGGGCTTGATGAGTTAGGTTAAGAAGCACATTCCCAGCTCACCATCTCTCCCTCTCTTACCTCCTTAGCATCTTGGTCTGTGGTTACGCATCTTGGCTGCACCTAAGAGTTGGCCTGAGGAGCTTTCAAACCTACAAAGGCTAGATCTACCTCCAGCCCGGTTCCCATTAGTCAATCTCCAGGAAGGAGTCTACCCCTCTATTTTTTATTTAATTTTATTTATTTATTTATTTATTTTTGAGATGAAGTCTCACTCTTGTCCCCCAGGCTGGAGTGCAATGGCGCGATCTTGGCTCACTGCAACCTCCGCCTCCCGGGTTCAAGTGATTCTCCTGCCTCAGCCTCCCGAGTAGTTGGGATTACAGGTGCCTGCCACCATGCCCAGCTAATTTTTGTATTTGTAGTAGAGACGGGGTTTCACCATGTTGGCCAGGCTGGTCTCGAACTCCTGACCTCAGGTTATCTGCCCGCCTCGGCCTCTTGAAGTGCTGGGATTACAGGCGTGAGCCACCATGCCTGGCCCCCTCTATTATTTAATAAGCTCCCCCAGGCATTCCGACATACCACTGGGCTGACAGCCACTGACCACCCTCTGCCAGACTCATGCTGTGTCATCATTTCTTGGCCTAAACTGGGACGTCCCTGCATGTATATGAAGTGTAACATGGTCATGTCAACTTCCAGAAGCCTTCAGGAGATAGATTCAGTGTCATCCCCATTGTGCAGATGAAATAAAACAGAAAATTCATCACATGCTCACAGTCACAGAGCTGGGAAGGTGAGCTAGGATTTCAGTCCAAGCAGTGTGAGATACCCCCTTTTCTTCCTGCTCTTCCACTATAGCAGTGCTAAAAAGAGCCTGGGTTGGCCAGCCTGGCTTTGGTAGGGTGTCATCAAACTGACTGCACCCAGATAAGAATAACATGGCTGAGGGGGGCCATGTAACTGCCCTTCTCTAGAGAAAGGGATTTGATTCTGTAGCTGTTATAAATGATTTTGGTTTAAGGTGAAGAGATAATGAAATTTTCTTAAACTCTACTAATACAAAATCACGTAAAAGGAGTCAATATCATAGGGTACACAGGGGACCATTTTGAAACAACTTAGATCCTTAAGAATAAAGGATGAAAGTTGTAGTGTTTGTGAACTTGCATTGGCTACAATGGCAATGAATATAACGCCTTTGGATGAAATAGTCTTTGACTAAATAGGCCTGAGTTTTTAAGCAGGTAACCCTGTACAAAAGTAGGAAAATGTTCCACCCTGCCACCTCTCAGGGAGGGCCAGATGTGATGCAATGAGTGTGATAGGCAGCAAGGGGAGAAAAAAAATCCCTCCTTATGTTGACTACATGAGCTGCACGACATTTGTAAAGGGAAATTTCAAGAGAAGGGAGACCAAGTGGGTTAGGATAAGAGCTATCTGGAATTTCCTTGTGTTACCAGGAAATATAATACTTACATAAGCTATTAATGGAATATTTGGAGGTTCAGCATTCACATTGATATATGTGTACGTATCTCCATTACACTTGATTTTAGAACCCCCTGGGACAACATGAGTATTTCTCTGGCCTGGGATTATGGAGAGAGGCTTAGGTCAAATGTCAGCTCTCCACTTTGTGGCTGAGTATCCATGGGCAAGTTACGTAACCTTTGAGCCTCCAGCTGTAAAATGGGGATCAACACCACCTCCCTTGCAGAGTTGCTCTGCAGATTCAGTATCATTTGAAAGCACTCGGTGCCTTGCCTGGAACATTAATAGGTACTTTCCTTACTTTCCCTCTTGGAGTCTCAGTACCACTCTATGACCAAGCAGGGGGGCCGTGCTTTAAGGCCCCTCTTTTAAACCTTCTGGCCACAGGGTGAGGAGTCCAAGGGGAAGCCCCTGTCCAAACCATTCCCAGCATCCCTAAACTCCCCTAAGATGACCTTGTGTTGGTTTCTAGCCCTTACAGACCTCTCTTCTAGGACCATCCTCCTGGAGGCACAGTGCACTGGCAGCATGCCCCTCTTCCCAAGGATGTAGACACAGCTTGGCCTCAAAGCCTAGGGTGTTCACCTGCCTGTGTACAACCCCCTCAAAGTGCAGGGTGGACCAGGGGTCAGCTGTCTCCACACTGACATGCTCTGGCAAGGAGCTCCAAGGAGTTGGAAAGCTCACCTGGAACCTATGTTTCAAGTTCTTATGAAGGTACATATGTCAAGATAGAAGAGTAAGATCTATTTTATTTACTAGTTTGTTAGCCCTTGTCCCCTGTCCCACGAATGTTAGAAGCAAGCAAAAATGCTTTCATCCAAATTACCTTCCTCTTCATAAAAATAAGAAAATCATGTAATCAAAATAATCTTCTGCCTTCTCAATGAGTTTACCACCTGATTCAGCAATTTTCTAACACCTTCATTTGCCTCATTGTAAGTAGTCCCAGTGCATGCTGGTTAGATGGCCTCTGGGTCTACATCAGTCCAACTGAATCAGGAGAGGAGCTCCAGAAGGTGCACTGGACAGTCATGCCAGAGGCCGTGTGCAATTTTAGGTTAGATCAGTGGTTCTCTGCCCTATCTGAATTTTAAAATAACTGCGAAACTTCTAAAAAATATATTGCTGCTGGGGTTTTATCTATATAGATCAAATCATCTCTAGGGGTAGGTCCTGGGCTCGAGTTTTTTTGTTTTTGTTTTTGTGTTTTTTAATCTCCCCAGTTGCCTCCTCCGTGAGCGAAGGTTGAGAAGCATAGCTGCCCCTGTGAGGAACTCAGCCTTCAGAGAGAGCCTGCCCGCCGCCTCTCATCCTCCAGAGAGGCTGTAGGGTGTCCAGACTTTGCAGGCACTGTTGTTCCTCGTTAAGCCTGATGCTGCCACCTAATTAACACTTGTTTATATTAATTAGTTGCCATATGCATTGAAGGGGAGTGGTCCTTTTTGAAGTTTCTAGTTGCTGACTATATAAGATTTGGCCTGAAGTGGGACTTCTGGAAACTCAACCAAGATAACGACTTCCAGGTTCTTCCAAAAGCTTATCTTCCAGGCATAGGCAGGTAATGAAACAACCCAACTGCGGTTTTTTCCATAACATCTTTCACCCCACAGTATCGATGGAGCAGGAGGGTGTGGACAGGCTTTCCTGGGTTTTTGGTGCTCCTTGTCAGGTGTTAAAACAAAGAGGATCATTGTGTTTCTTGGAACTGGCCTAAACGTCTATGTTTAAGATTAAGATCTAGGGAAATGCATTTCCGTTTGACACCCACTAGTTTCTGATTGTGAAAAGGGTACCAACCTGTGCAATGGCGCCGCGACCCGGCCGCGGACTCCAGCCTCTAAAGTCGGGTACCTTTAATTAGGAGAAATTAAGTGGGGCTGCTACATATTTTGAGAATAAGTAACACTATTTAAACTTAGGCAGCCTTAACCACTAACTTAACCGCTGAATTCTCGCTGCTACATGTCTCCTAAATAGATCAGCATAATCTTAACTAGGACTTAAAATGCATCATCTTCGTTCCGGAACTCAGAACCTGCAGCCGACGGGAGCCTTTGGAGGCTTAATGACTTTAATTATGGCGAGAAATATCTTCTCCCGGTGGGGAGGGGCGCGGCCGGTGGCGAGGAGGGCACTTTCCCGGGTCGGAGAAGGCCGGATGGCAGCCCGCCCCGAAAGTCCCGGCCCGCTGGATTGGGGGTTCGGGGGTGGGGGGAACATAGAGAAGCAGGGCTGGTGGAGGGGAGGAGGGACCCTGCAGGGCGGTACACGACGGGTGGGAGTGGGGAGGAGGAGGGCTCCTGGCGCGGGGAGGAGCCGCGGGAGGGGGGATGTTGGCCGCAGGGCCTCGGAGTTCTGAGCTGTGTTTGTGGCTTCAGCGCTTTGATCTCCTGCCAGGGAAACCTGGAAGGTCAGGCCGGGCTGCAGCCAAGCCCTGGAGCGAGGAGCCGGCGGGTGGAGCTGGCAGCACTGCGCCACCCACCCTCACCTCCCAACCCCCCAAGCAGTGAAGCCCGCCTGGCCGCCCTGGCCTCTCGCCCCCGCTCCTGCCGCTGCCCCTGCCCCTGCCCCTCTTTACCTCCTGTGTGTTGGTCTCCTGTAGGCCGTAGATTAAGGGGCTCCAAGTCTTGAAAGTAAGCTAGCCAAATGCCCTGCAAGTTTGGCTTAGTAAAATCATGTATGTTGTATATACTTTAAAAGAAACCAGATATTTTTTTAAAGCTGTGTGCGTCCCTTTCCTCCACCCTCCTCATCCCCACCCTAGTACAAATTACCCAAGAACCACAGGTGATTCCCCCTGCTGGTTCGTGAGTGTTAGGGTCTAGTTTGCCTCTCCTCTTCTACCACCACCACCACCCCCGTTCCTGGCACCAGGATTTTCTCACCGGTTACCCGTGTGCTCTTGGTGTGTGACCTCATTTCCTATGGAATGAAAAGTTTCTGTCGGAAAACAGGGCCCTTGGTGAGGCAGGCCTTGGGAGCCCCCTTGCCCAGCGAGAATGTCCTGTGTCATGCAGTGACTCATGCTTCAGAGAACAGCAGCTGACCAGAATGTTCAAGAGCCTGGTGCCTGGGTGGTCACTACTAAGTGAAGAACTCGAGGAGGAGGAAAGGAAAAAGTGAGGAGTAAGGATTTAAAATCCACTTAGTGGCCTCCAGAGGGAGGGGGATAACAGGACTCAAAGAGCCTGGGCTCTCTGGCCTGGGGTAGGACCCGCCAAGAGGGACCTGTGGGCGTCAGGCGTGGCCAGTCCCTAGGACCGGCTGGGTGCTCTCCATCGTGTTAACCGCCCTTTTCCCCTCCCTGACCACAGGAGCAGGCCTGGTGGCGGCAACAGAAACAGGGCTGGTTCCTGCCGCCCTGCATTTCAGCAGTGACGTGTTCCAGGCTCCGGCTTTAGATGGCTGTGTCTCTCAAGCCTTCAAGCCTATGCTTAAGTCTCTTGTTACCCCAAATTAGGGCACCATTGAGTTGGGGATTTTGAAGCTGTGGTAGAATTTGCCACCAGTTCACCCAGAGAGCCAAGGCGCCAGAGCTTCGCACCAGGTGGGGAAAGCAGCCAAACCTGCACTTTCCTGGGGTTGGGCCGCTGTATGGTGTGGCCATATTTCTCCGCAGGTTGCAGGATGAACTCCATCAGTCTTTTAGGCTGGAGGAAAGGCAAGGCCCCCTAGTGATAATGGGAGGAGGCTGTAAAAATTCACATACAGCCTGTTCTTGTGGACATGGCCAAGGGTAGTCATCTGGCCAGCTTTCTTTTGGTAAAGGTACTAAGGGAGGCTCCCATTCCTGCAGAATGGATGGAACAAACACTGCAAGTGGTTGGGCTTGTTTTCAGAGAGCTTTGATATCCAGAGATGAGCACACGCAGGGGCTGGGGCCTGATACAGATCCACAACAAGGCCAAGCCACTTTTAGTGCCTGGGGTCAAGGTTGGCCGGAGGAGACACGATGTCTGCATTCGAACTGACAACCAGTAAAAAGGCTGTCAGGAAATGCAACAGCAGAAGATGGCACCAGTAATAAGAAACCGAATCCTGAGAATCTTAAAGTGCGAAGAATATTATGTTCCAAGAAAATTTGGTAGAGAACAGACCTTTCTAAAAAGTCAAAGGGAGGAGATAGGTGGCCTAGAGTGAGCTGCAATCAGTGCTTTCAGTAGCAGGGCCCATGGTGTTTGATGCTAACCCCTAGGGCAAAAGCTGATCTTTTAGGTTAATCAACAAACATTTTTTGGCCATTTACCCTGTGCCAGGCCTTTTGCCGGGTTCTGGGAATTCAGCAGGAAAGAAGTCTGACACACTGGCTGCCCTTTAGTGAAGGAGGCATTTTAAGTAAACAATGACAGTGTGATGTCATAAGTGCCACAGTGGTGGAGCACAGCATAAGGCCACTGGGCACCGCAGCCTGAGGGAATAATACCTGAACAGAGAGAGAAGCAGTAAATGAACCCTGTGGCAGGGGGTGGGTAATGTGCTCCTCATTGTTGGTCTCCTGTTACCCCACATGTGGCCACCATTGAGTTTGGGATTTTGAAGAGAACTAAAAGAAGCTCAGTCTAGGCCGGGTGTGGTGGCTCAGGCCTGTAATCCCAGCACTTTGGGAGGCCAAGGAGGGTGGATCACCTGAGGCCAGGAGTTCAAGACCAGCCTGGCCAACATGGCGAAACCCTGTCTCTACTAAAAGTAGAAAAAATTAGCCGGGCATGATGGTGCACACCTGTAATCCCAACTACTCGGGAGGCTAAGGCAGGATAATCGCTTGAACCCAGGAGGTGGAGGCTGCAGTGAGCTAAGATTGTGCCACTGCACTCCAGCATGGGCGACAGAGTGAGACTCCATCTCAAAAAAAAAAAAAAAAAAAAAAGGCTCAATATAGTTCAACTTAGGAGTTTGAGTGTTGTGTTCAGAAACAATAAGCAGGAGGAGGTCACATCTTACCCTAAGAGCAGCACAGTCATTGGAGAAGGGTGGTGCAGGTCAGATCCATGATTGAGAACGGTCCCTCTGCTACTGCATGGAGACCGTGTTGGGGAGGGGGCAGGGGCGTGCAAGGTGGGCTGGGCTGAGGAGCCCCCAGAAGAGAATGTTGTTGGGACTTGTGAGAAATCTGGTGTCCTGGCCAGGGTGGCAGCAGTGGGGATGAAAAAACGATGGATGGATTTGGAAGTCAGAATCAGCAAAATTTGGTAAGCCATTGGGCATAGGTGAAAAGGCAAAGGGCTGCAGTTTTGACTTTGCCCCATGGGTGGAGGAATGGGGGAGATGGGGTACCTCCTTGAGGAGGGAGCCCAGGTTTGGGGGAAGTAAGGATTGTATGAAGAGCAGGCCCATGGCAAGACCCCTTGCACCTACATCCACCCGAGCAAGAAATGACCCAGAAATGTCCGGGACAGTGTGCTGTGCTCTGCGAATAGCTGCAGAAGTAACTTGGGGACCCAAAATAAAGCAGAATGCTAATGTCAAGTCCTGAGAACCAAGCCCTGGGACTCTGGTGCCATTTTGGATTCTCCATGAGCATGGTTTCTGCCCCCTTCGGTCACACTACTTATATGTAAGTCTGTCAGAGAAGAGGCCCAAGTGAACACTCACTTGGATAAGAAGGGGAGAGACCTCAGTGTCTTCATGCTGCTGCTTGCTAAGCAAGGTCTCTTCACCCAGGACAGCAGCAAGTGTGTTATGACAGACAATTCCAGAAGGTCCTGGATTGTGTCTTCCTTGGGATGCCTGGCACCCAGTTGGCCCTCTTCAGTAGTTGTCAGATGGAACTGTATACTCGAATGTTTCCATACTGATAACCATCTCATTTAAATTATGGGTGCCATTTAGTAATTGGTTTCCAGATCAAAATGTAGGTCTTCTGTCATATCCTTCAGCCTTCCACCTGTGAGTTAAAGTGATGGGGAGTGGGTTAAGGGGATGATACTCCTCTCACCTTGACATACCATGAGCCATGGAGCAGAGTCCTCAAGCGTGCTCCATGGAAGGGAGAGTGTTAACAGGAGTTGCTGCAAACAGGCTTTGTGTTCAAAAAAGTTTGGGATGCTGGGTAAAATAGGAGCCTCTAGCATGTTAGTGATGTATATGTCAGGGATAGCTCTGGAATGTGCAGCATTTCTCAAAGGACACCGACCAGGAAAATCATTCCCTTAGTAGATGCACTTTGGGAAAGGCTACTATAGAGATATGAGGCAAGTGAAGCCATGTTCTTAATTTCTTACCCATTTGCCCTTGGAACTAAATGTACATGCTCTTCCTTATTGACTCTCCTGGACTCTTCAGAGAGGGATCTGCCAGCACCATGGGCAGGATGTGTGCTTGGTGAGGACAGGGGTCTGTGACCACGCTTGCTGCCGGCTGCTGTATGAGTCCCCAGGGTCTAGAACACATAGTAACCAGTTAATAACTACCGTGGAACAACTAAATTAATACATGGTTAATGCAAATAGAATTTGACTGTGAACCATGCCCAGGGCAGTCTGCTTTGTTAGACCTTTTTTTTTTTTTTTTTTTTTTAATAGACACACGGAGTCTTGCTATATTGGCCAGGCTGGTCTCAAACTCCTGGCCTCAAGTGATCCGCCCACCTCAGCCTCCCAAAGTGCTGGGATTACAGGCATGAGCCAACGCGCTCAGCCATGTTAGGCTTTATGGGGCATACCAATGTGGTCGGTAAGGTCTACCTCCTGGCTCCTGGGAGTTTCTGTTAATCTCCAAGGGTATGCCTGGCACCCAAGCGAGGCCTTTATGTATAGGACATCTATACCCTTTGACTCAGCAGAACCACTCATGGCTATTAAGGACAGATGCCTCCAGAATATGAGTACAAGGATATGAATACAGCACTGTTTATAACAGAGAAAATATAGAAATCTGCTACGTGCCTCTTAGGGAGATGGTCATTAAAGGAGCTCTGAATAACCATACAATGGAATGATATGTGTAGCTGGTAAGAAGAATGAATATTTTTCCACATCAATGCATATAAATATTGTTGAGTAAATTGTTGAGTTAAGGGGGAAGTAGAGTACAGAACAGTGTATGTCCAATATGTCCAGTCTATTTATTTTAAAATTTTTTTTCTTTTTGAGACGGAGTCTCGCTCTGTCGCCCAGGCTGGAGTGCAGTGGCGTGATCTTGGCTCACTGCAAGCTCCGCCTCCTGGGTTCAAGCAATTCTCCTGCCTCAGCCTCCTGAGTAGCTGGGACTACAGGGGCACGCTGCCACGCCCAGCTAAATTTTTTTTTTTATTTTATTAGAGGTGGGATTTCACCGTGTTACCGAGGCTGCTCTCGAACTCCTGAACTAAGGCAATCCACCCTCCTTGGCCTCCCAAAGTGCTCGGATTACAGGTGTGAGCCACTGCGCCCGGCCTTAAACGATTTTTAACAGCTGGGGTCTATGTTGCCCAGGCTGGCCTCAAGCTCCTGGGCTCGAGCGATCCTCCCTCCTCAGCCTCCCAAGTAGCTGGGATTATAGGTACTAATCCAGCATATTTTAAACTACATTTTGGTGGGCGTGTGTCTGTAACACATGCATTTTATTCTTGCCAATATGTGGGTTAAAAAAACAATGGAGGCTATAAACCACACCATTATGTTAAAATGCTGGGATATAGGGGGTAACAGATGAGTTATTTTTTGCTTTCAATTTCTGAGTTATTTTAAATTGTTCATATCATGCACATATTACCCTTATAAATAGCAAAAACTCTAAAGATGATCGTATTTTCAGGGAAAATGTATTACAGAAGTGGTAAACAACAAGAGAAACCCTAAGATATTAGAGCTCAGAGAGAGGTATCTTATCTGTCCTTTGGCTAAGGAGAAGCACCATTAGTTTTATGGAAAAGGTTACACAGGAACTGGACCTTGAAGGATTAGTAATGTTAGTATTAATATGATCAACTCATTATATTTGACTCTAAAGTGTCTTTCTGCATGTGAAGTATCATCATCTAGAGAGTTACTCTCAAACTCACTTCTTTCTCCCTTCCACCCAGCTCATCAACAGACCGCCTAACCCAGAAATTAAATCTGTTGACAAATTTGCCTGTATTGTCTGTGCCAGTCTATCTATCTTGTCATTTATGCAGCCAAGTAAGAATTGGGTGGGTATATAAGAGGAGCATTAAAATTTGATGTGGATTTTATTGAGATTCTTCATAATCTTTATATTCTTTGGCACAGGGCCTACCTATGTCCTCTGGAAACTAGAAATGAAAACCAGTATTTATTCAATGTAGTATTAATTATAATTTTAAAAACTGGAACAACCCAAATATCAGAAATACATGTATAGTGTGTAGGAAAAAAAAATCACAGCCATTTAAAATATTTACAAAGAATTTTTAATAACTTAGAAGCTTATGATAAAGAAAAAAAGCCAGAAGGCAAAATTGTATTCAGTAGAGGCAAAAAATTCTGTTTGGGGCTCCCATATGTCTGCAACTTCCTGTAAGAGGTTGAAGACATGTCTTCATATTAGCGCTAACAGTCCAGCTTCCTTGGTTAGCTTATGGTCAGGAATGTGGGACAAATGAGATTTTTAGTCATCTTTTGGGTTATTTCCTATTAAGACTGTATTCTGTCAAAGTTTTCCCGCAATAAAGGGTAGGCACTAGGGATACCACATCCAAGAGCTTGACAGAGGAACAGGTAAACAGGTGAAAGTGGAATCCGTGCCCCAGAGACTCCAGGGAATAGAGATGGCGGTAGGTCCAAGCCCCAAACCAAGTCTGGGTATAACTACACACACTGGGGAGAATGCCAGATCCATTCCTGAGTGGAATTCCTGGTAAGTGGTGGGCTCTAGGCTTCACGTTTTCCCACCCACAAAGTGGTGATGGGACAATTCTCATCATAATTGGTACATTTGCACTGGAACATTCTAGACTCAATCTTACTAGTAAAAGCACTTCCTTATGAAAGAAAACCACATAACATTCACAGTCAGGGAGCACTTTCTTTTTACCAGTAGTAACCCGAGTATGGTACCAGGCAAGCTTGCTTTCACTTATAATAAACATTTATTGAATAACCATAGGAGTGGTAAGTGCCAACCACAATAGGGCCCTGTCTTCTAGAGGCTGGAATTTTGTACTTTGCAAATGTATTTTAAGGGCGCAAGTGTTTGCTCTTTTGCTACTTGTCTCAATGGCCACAGACATTATCTAGTCTCGAGTCCAGCAGCCCTGGGAAGGTAAATAAAAGGACCGTGGCAATCTTTCATTCAGCACTCTGCACTGGGTTTCTGGTCACCTGCTGGCTGGTGCCAACCTGCCCTGGCCTGAGCAAGGATGGAAGTAGCAAAGGTGATGAAGGATGTGAAGATACCCTTGTGGGTGGGGATGAGGGGAAGGGCACATAGAGGGCAGCAAGACAAGGCCTTTGGCTGCTTCTGGGAGGCCTTGCCAAAACTTCCCACCTGTGTTCTGCAGTCACACCCTTCTGTTAATCTTGCACTCCAGGCTGTGCACAGTTTAGGGATAACGGCCCTCTCCAGCTACAGCCCAGTTTACCAGTGACTTTCATCCAACCATATCCACCAGGCTGCATCTTTCCCATCCTTTCTTTGAAAGGGCCCCAGCTTCAGAGTTTTGGACGTTAAGTATGTGACTTAAAGATCCTAAAGATAGGATTTCTGGTGGCCACAAGACTGTGAACTCCTAATTAGGGTCTAGGTTTGTTTTGAAATAATATTCTGGTCTACACTTGAGTAATTAAAATGGTGAATGATCTGTGAGAGTGATTGGTTCAAGGAATATGCCTCATCAATTTTTAAACTGAAAATAAGGGCAGGGGGCAAAGAATGACCAAGTAATGTTCTGTTGCTTTTTTTTTTTTTTTTAAGACAGGGTCTCGCCCTGTCGCCCAGGCTGGAGTGCAGTGGCACAATCATGGCTCACTACAGCTTCAACCTCCTGGGCTCAAGCAGTCTACCTCAGCCTCCCGAGGAGCTGGGACTACAGGTGAATGCCACCATGCCTGCCTAGTTTTTAACTTTTTTGTGGAGACAGTCTTGCTATATTGCCCAGGCTAGTCTTGAACTCCTGGCTTCAAGCAGTCCTCCTGCCTCAACCTCCGAAAGTGCTGAGATTACAGGCATGAGCCACTGCACCTGGCCTGTATTTTTTTAATTTCCTTTCAGAACAGTATAATAAAAGTGTCTTTTTCTAAATATGGGTTATTCATGGCCTATTTTAAATCCTAAGCTGGCTTCTGACAGGCAAGTTCCCTTTAGGATCTTAGCTTGGCTCCCCTCCTGTCCAGTCCTGGTGTGTGCAGGAAATACAAACTGATTTTAATAGTAGTTTACATTAAATATTATTTTAAAAGTAGATCACCTGTGCGAATGAAGTATTTTTCTCAAACAAGGTATGTCCTTAGATCCTGTGCCTTTGCCTGGTTGTATTGGAAGTCAAGCTGTAAATGGAATTTAAGCACCATATATATATATATAGAGAGAGAGAGAGAGACAGATTCAAACCCCTGGGCTCAAGTGATACTCCCGCCTCAGCCTCCCAAGTAGCTGGGATTACAGGCCCGTGCAACTACAACCAGCTGCCTTATTACTGACCTGCCCTCTTCACTGTAAAAACCAGGAAACATATCACCATGTCCTAGATTTTGTGAAAAACGTCTTTTGTGTCTCTCAAATGGATCATGCTTCATCCGGAACCTCTGAGTCCTTGAGACCTCCACGTTCCGGGCGGAGCAGGGAAGCCTGAACTTTAAGAAGGCCACGTGGCTAAATGGCTTCCCTGAGGCATGTCTCTCCTGGGAAGGCATTCCCTACCCCAGATCCTGCAGCCTTTCATCCTGAGGCCATTAGACTCTCCAGGTGCACCTGCATCAAAGCGCACAGGTACCGCGCTCCTGATCTGGACTTATCTGAATTGTACCTTCCCCGAGGGTGCTGTTTGATGTGCTTGATTGTGGAATGAAAGCCAAATAAAGGAATGAGAGGGGCTGTTTATTTCCTCATTTTTAGTGCTTTTCCTCAGGGCCCTTCTATGTCTGGAGAAGGAATTTATGAAAAAGCCTAGGATACCACCTAAGCGGAAAACACCAGCATCTACTTACAATTATATTAACTCTGGCATCCATGAGCTGTTGGCCTCTGGCAGAGGAGTCTGTGTCCCTAAAGAGCTCTATGGATAGCCAGTATGGTGGCTCATGCCTGTGATCTCAGCACTTTGGGAGGCCGGAATGGGAGGATCACTTGAGCCCAGGAGCTCAAGACCAACCTGGGCAACATAGTGAGACCTCGTCTCTACCAAAAAAAAAAAAAAAAAAAAAAAAATTAGCCTGGCATGGTAGCAGGCACCTGCAGTCCCAGCTACTCAGGAGGCTGAGGCAGGAGGATCATTCGAGGCCAGGAGTTTGAGGCTGCAGTGAGCTATGATTGCACCACTCCAGCCCAGGTGACAGAGTGAAAGCCCATCTCTGATAGATAGAAAGATAGATAGCTCTATGGTGGAGGAAAGTGATGCCACTCTCGCCTCACACTTTTTCAGCTGTGTCATCAGCATCCTCTCTTCCTGGAGGAGGGTGACAGGGCCAGTGTAGTTCTGAGTTGCTCTGATAGCCTGCTGCTTCTCATTTGAGTGACCAAGGCTGGGAATTTAGAAGGGACTCTAGTCATAATAACATAGGCGGCCTCCCTGCACCCCCTCCCCCTTTTTTTTTTTGAGGCAGAGTCTCACTCTGTCGCCCAGGCTGGAGTGCCGTGGTGCGATCTCGGCTCATTACAACCTCCGCCTCCCAGGCTCAAGTGATTCTCCTGCCTCAGCCTCCCGAGTAACTGGGAGTACAAGCACATGCCACCACATCCAGCTGATTTTTTGCATTTTTAGTAGAGATAGGCTTTCACCATGTTGGCCAGACTGGTCTGGAACTCCTGACCTCAGGTGATCTACCCGCCTAAGCCTCTCAGAATGCTGGGATTACAGGCATAAGCCACCATGCCCAGCCATCCCCCACCGCCTTTTTTTTTTTTAACAGATGGGGAAACTGAGGCTGAGGCTGAAAGCAATTGAGTGACTTGTCCACTGTTGGCAGCATGCCAGTGGCAGAGGCAGGAATAGCTCCCAGGATTCATTCCTGACTCCTAGCCTAGCAATCTGGTGATGAAACAGGGTGTGGTGGACAATCGGCAGAGACTTTCAATGCATTGAATCTCCATTCAAAAAGAAAGGGTCCCCTGCAAGACAAAGACAGATTGTCCAGAGTGCCAGAACTTCTTAAACTGCCAAGGAACTTGCAGTATACTGAAGATTTTACTGAAGTTGTTTTTGGTACTGTTTGGTGCTAAATACAAGGAATTGGTTTGTTGTAAAAGCTATAGGGTGAGACTGCCCTCTAGTGGGCCAGTGGAGCTATTGGTCTAGCTGTGTTCTGGGCAACTTTGCTTTCTCACGCCACATCAATGTAGAGCGATTATTCCTACGGAAAGGAATTTCAATTTTATTCTTTCTCAAGCACTGTGGCCCATAGTAACTCTGTTGATCTCTAAGCACTAGCCATCATTTGCGCGTCTTATAGAAGGCTGGGTTTGCCTTCTATACATACACACATTAGAAGTGTCTTACTTCCCTAACAAGATTCAGGCTCCTAAAAGCCAGGACATGCATGTATGTATGTATGTATATATTTTGTGGAGACAGGGTCTTGCTCTGTCACTCAGGCTAGAATGAAGTGGTGCAATCACAACCCAACCTCTACCTCTTGGGCTCAATCAAACCTCCTACCTCAGCCTCCCGAGTAGCTGAGACTACAGTTACGTCCTGCCACACCCAGCTAATTTTTCTGTTATTTTTTAGATAATGGGGTCTTGCTATGTTACCTAGACTGGTCTCGAACTCCAGCCATGCTATATCTTAAGTCTTGTTTTTCCACAGCTTCTGCCTTGCTGTCCCCTTAGCTGGACATGGAATTAGAAGGTTCTTTGGGATGGAAAGGAATCCTTCCCCCACCTCCCCCAAAAAGAATCCCGTCACTTCTCATTTGTTCCTAAAACATTCTAATCTCATCCCTCTGATCAGTAGTTCCCCAAGTAGTTGAATCATCTGAATCCCCCAGAAAGCATACACAACTCAGTTTCCTGGGCCTGACTCCAGCCCTGCTCAATCAGTCTCTGTGGTTTGAGCCAGGAAACCTGCTTTACAAACTTCCCAAGTGGCTTTTGATGTGTAGCCAGGTCTGGCAGCCAACTGCTTCAAAACCCCATTTACAATTATTTTTCACAGCTCCCACCACCGACAGTGTCTCCAGAGGTCTTCAGCTTGTGTCACTTATTAAAATTAACCATTTTGAGACTCATTCAGAAATACTCAATATATTCTTCTAACTGGGTGACATGGGAAGGAAAAAGGAACCGCATGAGATGGACCAAAGGCACTTGCTTTGGTTGCCAATGGCTCTGAAACAGGAAATACTGAAACCAATACCTCTGTACTGACTGGGCAGGTTGTTGATGTGTAGGTTGTTTTCAGTATTTGGGCTGGATAGGAAGACAAAAGTTTGTTAAGTTATCAATTATGTATTTTCCCCTATTATAAGTCATCTGACCTCATGATTACCATACAAGGTAGGTGAAATTGTCCTCTTTAAAAAAAAGTTTTCTAATTGACAGATAATAATTGTACATATTCGTGGGGTACATAGCAATATTTCAATACATACAAGGTATAGTGATCAGATCAGGGTAATTCGCATATCCATTATCTCAAACATTTATCACTTCTTTGTGTTGGGAATGTCCTTCTCCTAGCTATTTGAAACTATATGTTATTGTTAACTCTAGTCATCAGTCCCCTTCTTTATAGATGGGAAAATTGAGGATTAGGAAAGTGAAGTAACATCCCTGAAGTCACCTAAGTTGGTAACTGTCAGATTCTGCATTTGATTACAGGCCTGATTGCCAAGGCCAACTTTGAAAAGGTAAGAGGACCAGAGGGCCAACCTGCTGTTTTTTTAACTCTGGCAGGCCAAGCGAGCAGTACAGCGGGGAGCTACTGCAGTCATCTTTGATGTGTCTGAAAACCCAGAAGCTATTGATCAGGTAAGCTCCTCAGGCCATGCCAACACTGCAGCCTCCCTGAGAAAGGCACTTCCTTTAGTGAGCTTGGCTTGTCCCGGTCATGTCACCCTCATCTCAGAGCATTTGCTCTTGTCTTCTGAAGTTAGGTGTCCATGTTTGGACATAATTCCCAAAGGAGGTATACTGGGCGAGGTTAAGAGCCAGGGAATTGGGGCACAGGGGGCATTTTCTCTTTTTTTCCCCCGAGATGGAGTCTTGCTCTGTCACCCAGGCTGGAGTGCAGTGGCGCAATTTCAGCTCACTGCAATCTCCACCTCCCGGGTTCAAGCGATTCTCCTGCCTCAGCCTCCCAAGTATCTGGAATTATAGGCACGAGCCACCACGCCTGGCTAATTTTTGTGTTTTTAGTAGAGATGGGGTTTCACCATGTTGGCCAGGCTGGTCTTGAACTCTTGACCTTGTGATCCATCTGCCTCGGCCTCCCAAAGTGCTGGGATTATAGGCGTGAGCCACTGCACCGGGTTCAGGGGGCATTTTCTAAGACCTTTCTGGGCCTTCTGCTTGCCCAGTCCATCCCAAAACAAGCGTCATTCTCAGCCTTGCTCTTCTGGGAGCTCCAAGGCTGTAATGTTGGAAGAGCTGGAGGATTCCAGACAGGTATTCAGTGTTCCTTCCCTCCAGCCTTTCTTTCTCTCTACTGCTTCTTAAAGTAAGCGCACCTTTTAACCAGAGCCCTCTCTTCTTCCTTAGCTGAACCAGGGCTCTGAAGACCCGCTCAAGAGGCCGGTGGTGTATGTGAAGGGTGCAGATGCCATTAAGCTGATGAACATCGTCAACAAGCAGAAAGTGGCTCGAGCAAGGATCCAGCACCGCCCTCCTCGAGTGAGCCTCCGCACCATTTGGCACAGGCTCGGGGCCTTCTCTGCTACTACCTGTCCCTTTATTTCCCTTGGGCTTTCATTCCTATCTCTGTCTGAAATGCTGGCATACCCCAGGTTCCTGCAGGCTTAGATCAGCTATTGGACTCAAGGCCAGGGTGAAATTTTACTCATGTTCCTTTATAGTGAATTTGAGAAATCCTACCAGAAATAGATACTTTTGTGCTAAGATGTCTCTGGCCTCTTCCACCTGGCATTCCCTCTTGGCCATCTCTCATCCTTTCTTTTCCATCCCATCTCCCTCTGAAAGGCAAACTGAGGAGGATTGAAGGGATGGGGCATCCAGCACCTGGCTTCCCGTGGCTTCCTTCTTCTATCTGGCTTAGACACTAGAAAAAAAGGCTTGTATTTCCTTCTTCCTGTAGAGTAGATTACCTTATTGAAACTCCCCAAGTTAATTTGAGTCTGGAAAAGTTAGCTTTCAACTGGGATTGAGTTCGACGGCTAAATGAATAGCATCTGCATCTCTTAAGTATGTAGAAGAGACACTACTGGCCACTAACTCTTAACCAGCCTCTTCTGCTCAAACCTCAAGCTGAAGAATTCCAGGAACCTTGGGCTGGTGCCCTATATTGGTGTTATTTCCTCCTCACAAATATTGGGACATTCACAGTGTAGGATGATTCTTTCCCATACACAACATAGCCGGTTACATGCAGCTTCCACTTTGCAAAGCTCTATTCCCATTGGCCAAATGGAGGTCCCAGATAAGGTGGCTGTGAGGTTTTAGGAGGCAGTGAGGAAAAGGTAAGAACTAAAACTAGAGGGAGTTTGCTGAACTGACTTGTTGGCTTCTTTTTAAAGGGAAAAAAAAAAGCGCTTTGGTAAATATGACTCATTGTAGTGGAAGCTGATATTTGTGGAAGCAGCATACAATTTTCTGAGTTGTTGTAAACCATTAATTATACGGTTAGTAATCACTGTTCCCTCAAAACATGACACTCACTCTTTTGTCCTATAAATGTGATTATTTGTGTTGATTTGGAAGGGCCTTTCTTACCAGTTACAGCCAACTTTGCAGTATTCCACAGGCTTTACCAACAGAGTTCCCTTGGCTCTTGGGGGGCCTGGCTGAGATCGCCACAGGCGTCCCCCTGGGCCACACCAAAGGCACTACATGGGCCTAGGGAGCACACCATGTGCATGTGAGCAGAACCCCAGGAGTTTCCTGCAAATTGAGGGGAAACTCATCCCGGTCACCCCATCTTTATCCTGACAAAGCCAAGATAGCCCATGTGCCGCTTACCAGGCTGGAGAGAGGCTGTGACTCACTGTGTCTGTGTTCCGTTCCAGCAACCCACTGAATACTTTGACATGGGGATTTTCCTGGCTTTCTTCGTCGTGGTCTCCTTGGTCTGCCTCATCCTCCTTGTCAAAATCAAGCTGAAGCAGCGACGCAGTCAGGTAGTGCCTCTGTGTGTAGCCCGTGAGCAGTAACCCCTCTTGCCGTGACACTGGGGAAAACCAGGACTCTCGTCACCTTATTTTTTGATGGTGCAACATGGAGCCTCACAGCTGTGGACTCTGAGCTCTGCAGCCTGTTCCCAGTGGCCTAGAAACTGCAAAGATGGAAAAAAAATAAGAGCAAACTAGGCCAGGCACCATGACTCACGCTTGTAATCCCAGCACTTTGGGAGGCCGAGGCAGGCAGATCACTTGAGCTCACGAGTTCAAGACCAGCCTAGTCAACATGGCAAAACCCCGTCTCTACCAAAAATACAAAAATTAGCTGGGCATGGTGGCATGTACGTGTAGTCCCAGCTACTCGGGAGGCTGAGGTGGGAGGATCACTTGAGCCTAGAGGGCAGAGGTTGCAATGAGCTATGATCACACCACTGCATTCCAGCCTGGGTAACAGAGTAAGACCCTGTCTCACAAAAAAAAAAAAAAAAAAAAGATCAAAACTTACAGCCCAGTGCCTTCTCTGTTCTAAAAGGGCTAGTCCTACAAAGGTTAAGCATTGGGAATATCTCCAGCAGGTGTTTCGAAGGAAGTGTTTATTTTATTTTTTTATTTCTTTGAGACAAGATCTCATTCTGTCACCCAGGCTGGAGTGCAATGGCATGATCTCGGCTCACTGCAACCTCCACCTCCCGGGGTCAACTGAGTCTCATGCCTTAGCCTCCCAAGTAGCTGGAATTACAGGCACCCGGCTAATTTTTGTATTTTTAATAGAGACGGGGTTTTACCATGTTGGCCAGCCTGGTCTCAAACTCCTAACCTCATGTGATCCGCCCGCCTCGGCCTCCCAAAATGCTGGGATTACAGGCGTGAGCCACCACGCCCGTCCCAAAGGAAGTGTTTAAGTCAACGTTAATAAGTATTATAAACACTCCACAGGTCTAGAATATGTGCTGTAGCAGTCTGAGTTTTGAGTGCTTTCTCTGAAGTCTATTCTGGCATGATTGAGAAGTGTTTGCCTGTCCCAGTACATCAAGTGGCGCCCTAGAGCCTTGGTCCTCAGATAGAATCTGTGGTCCAGCAGCAACGGCAGCACCTGGAAGCCTGATAGAAATGCAGGGTCTCAGGCTCCGCTCCAGGCCACCTACACAGTATACCAGGCTCTCTGGGTGATGCTTGATTAACAGTAGCTGCTGTAGCACTGCAGCCACATCACTTTGTGCTTGCAGGAAGGAGAAACTCGGGTAGGGGGTGGTGAGAGGATAAGCAGAGATCTGGACCCCCAAATGTATGGCAGGGTCATGTCTCAGGGGAGAGATGGTGGATCTTGGAAGGCAATCTGTAGAGAAGAGAATCACCAAAGTTCTCTTGAGGGTTGAGCGACCACCCCCAACAAGATGATGGCTTGTGTTTTTTGAGCACAGCCTATTTGCCAGGTGCTAAGCACTTACACATTGTCTATTTACTGTCACCACCTCCTTCAACAGAAAGAGGAGGAACGCTTGGCGTAGAACAGGTTGATAACTCGGGGTCTGGCAGAGTTAGGAGGCAGCAGGTCCAAGTAATTGGAGGAGACCCCTGCCTTCAAATCAGAGAGACCCCTGCTAGTCTTGCCACTTAGGAAAAGCCTAGGTTGATGTCGTGGACACCCCACGCGTCTGGAGAATATGTGCTATGGCAGTCTGAGTTCTGAGCGACTTCTCAGAAGTCTGTTCCGGCATGATAGAGAATTGTCTGCCTGTCCCAGTGAATCGTGTGTCATGTCCCTGGGGTGACTGCCACTTTCATACGTACTGGACCCTCACACAGACTACATTCTGCCCTGCAGAATTCCATGAACAGGCTGGCTGTGCAGGCTCTAGAGAAGATGGAAACCAGAAAGTTCAACTCCAAGAGCAAGGGGCGCCGGGAGGGGAGCTGTGGGGCCCTGGACACACTCAGCAGCAGCTCCACGTCCGACTGTGCCATCTGTCTGGAGAAGTACATTGATGGAGAGGTAATGGCAGAAGCAGGCCCGTCCTGGGTGGGGAAAACATAGGCAGGTCAGCAGAGGTGCCCAAGACCTAGAAGGACAGGGCCCTGTGTTCCATCACACACATCAACTTTTAGAGTCACTCTTCTGAAAATTCTGAGACTTGACTTGATACTTAGCTGGGTGTTTTTACTTACAAAGAGACAAGGGATTTTATATCCCTCACTTTTTTTTCTTGTAGCTCTTTGAAAATTTTAGGCCTAGTACCATGCCTGTAGTCCTAGCTACTTGGGAGGCTGAGGTGGAAGGATCACTTGAGGCTAGGAACTTGAGGCTGCAGTGAGCTATTATTACACCGCTGCATATCAGCCTGGACAACAGAGTGAGACTTTGTCTGTCTTAGAAAATTTCAGACCTTCAGAAAAGACTAGTACCATAGACGATATATGTCAGGGGCCTAGAATCATCCATGATGAACATTTTGCCACATTTGCTCACTCTCCCTCTCTCTAGACAGATGCATACATACACATATTTGCGGGGCAGGGAGCAAACCACTTGAGAATTACAGACATTTGATGCGCCTTTGTTGAAAATGTTCCACTGCTGCAGAGACTGTTGGATGGAAATGGAATTTTTGCAGAATAGAATAGTAGATTCTTACACAGACTCTGGGTTCTAATCCTGACCTGGGTGGATTCTAGCTTTGTGATCTTGGGCAAGTGACTTCGTTTTCTTGTGACATGGGCCTGACACTGACCAGCATTCCAGGTGATCATGAAGGTTCCATGAGAAGATCCAGGGTAGACCCTTTGTCATTCTGTCAGGCACAGTGTTAGGTGTGAGCTGGAATATTACTGTACTAGACAGGTCAGAAAATTGAAAGACAAAGTAAAATGAGCAAATCTGGAAGATGCTTAGGCTTAGGAACTCTGGAGGTGGTTCTGTCCCAATAACTCTATCTGTCTAGATAGGCTGCTTTTCTTATAAACCACACACCCCATGGTGAGGTTCAGGATCCAGTAAAGGAGGGGATAGCAGAGCTTTACCCCTTTGCTGCCACACCTGTCAATCATGAGTCCCAGGTATCTTCCTTTCTACTCATGCCTATTTGGGATACCCAGGGACAGCCAGCACCTCAGAGATGCAGAATATCTTGGGGTATACCTGGCCCTCTCTCCATACCCCTAAGCCTCCCATCCTCACTAGCAGGAGGACTCGGCCCTCCCTGGGTGGAGGCATGAGTGTGTTTGCCCTCCTCCAGCTACGGGAAAGACGCCTGCCTCTGTGCGTGCCCACTCCCTTAACACTGAGGACTGTGGATGGGGCTGACTGCTGGCAGTTTCCTTCTTCCTAGAACACATGGGTGGGCCCTGCTTCTAGGGAATTGAGCCCTAATTGGAGGTGGGGAGGAGAGTAGGGAAGGGCACGGGCATGCTGTGCAGAACTCCTTGGTCTATGCTGGACTCTGCAGGAGGACACACCTGCGAGGCTGAAGGCAGACTTGTGTCCCCTCTCTCCCTGCCCAGGAGCTGCGGGTCATCCCCTGTACTCACCGGTTTCACAGGAAGTGCGTGGACCCCTGGCTGCTGCAGCACCACACCTGCCCCCACTGTCGGCACAACATCATAGGTAACTGTCACCCGCCTTAGCCATTGCTGAAGAGTCAAGTGCCTAGCTAGAGTGTGACACACACCGCAGGCTTGGGAACACTCAGAACCACCGTGGCACTGCCCTCTGGACTTGGAGGCCTGGCAGCCCTGGGTTTTGGAGGTTGTCTGCACGACCCTTAGGAGAGCTTGGCATTAAGAATCACCCTGAGTTCAAGTTTGGGCTTCACATTAAGCAGCTTCTTGACCTCGGGCAAGACATCTGGCCTCTCCTAGGCCTGAGGCCCCTAATCTCTTTAGTGGCAATGACAGTAATGGTGTTTGCCCACACCCAGTACCATGGGGGTGTTCCTAGGACCACGAGAGACGATGAGTGTGCAGAGGCCAGCTTGGGCTGTTGCTCCTGCATCACTGTGTCATTAAACAGGGATGGAGGGACACTGGCATCTTTGAATCCGATTCTTTTCTGCAGACTTCTGTGGTGCCCTGTCAGGCAGAGCAGTGGGGAGTTGGGAGCGGGGCCCTTACAGGAGATGGGCCATTTCACACAGACAGGCAGGTCAGCCTCTGCCGCTGCAGCTCAGTTTGGGGGCAGGGTTGTGAGAATGGGTACCTTGGCAGGTGACCAAGCCTGCTGCTTCAGCCTTTGCCCGTTTTAAAAATCCCTTTAGCCTCTGACACCAGTATGCTCAGCCCTGCCTACTCTGTTTCCTCCACTTGTCTCCAGAACAAAAGGGAAACCCAAGCGCGGTGTGTGTGGAGACCAGCAACCTCTCACGTGGTCGGCAGCAGAGGGTGACCCTGCCGGTGCATTACCCCGGCCGCGTGCACAGGACCAACGCCATCCCAGCCTACCCTACGAGGACAAGCATGGACTCCCACGGCAACCCCGTCACCTTGCTGACCATGGACCGGCACGGGGAGCAGAGCCTCTATTCCCCGCAGACCCCCGCCTACATCCGCAGCTACCCACCCCTCCACCTGGACCACAGCCTGGCCGCTCACCGCTGCGGCCTGGAGCACCGGGCCTACTCCCCAGCCCACCCCTTCCGCAGGCCCAAGTTGAGTGGCCGCAGCTTCTCCAAGGCAGCTTGCTTCTCCCAGTATGAGACCATGTACCAGCACTACTACTTCCAGGGCCTCAGCTACCCGGAGCAGGAGGGGCAGTCCCCACCTAGCCTCGCACCCCGGGGCCCGGCCCGTGCCTTTCCTCCGAGCGGCAGTGGCAGCCTGCTCTTCCCCACCGTGGTGCACGTGGCCCCGCCCTCCCACCTGGAGAGCGGCAGCACGTCCAGCTTCAGCTGCTATCACGGCCACCGCTCGGTGTGCAGTGGCTACCTGGCCGACTGCCCAGGCAGCGACAGCAGCAGCAGCAGCAGCTCCGGCCAGTGCCACTGTTCCTCCAGTGACTCTGTGGTAGACTGCACTGAGGTCAGCAACCAGGGCGTGTACGGGAGCTGCTCCACCTTCCGCAGCTCCCTCAGCAGCGACTATGACCCCTTCATCTACCGCAGCCGGAGCCCCTGTCGTGCCAGTGAGGCGGGGGGCTCGGGCAGCTCGGGCCGGGGACCTGCCCTGTGCTTCGAGGGCTCCCCGCCTCCCGAGGAGCTCCCGGCGGTGCACAGTCATGGTGCTGGGCGGGGCGAGCCTTGGCCGGGCCCTGCCTCTCCCTCGGGGGATCAGGTGTCCACCTGCAGCCTGGAGATGAACTACAGCAGCAACTCCTCCCTGGAGCACAGGGGGCCCAATAGCTCTACCTCAGAAGTGGGGCTCGAGGCTTCTCCTGGGGCCGCCCCTGACCTCAGGAGGACCTGGAAGGGGGGCCACGAGTTGCCGTCGTGTGCCTGCTGCTGCGAGCCCCAGCCCTCCCCAGCCGGGCCTAGCGCCGGAGCAGCTGGCAGCAGCACCTTGTTCCTGGGGCCCCACCTCTACGAGGGCTCTGGCCCGGCGGGTGGGGAGCCCCAGTCAGGAAGCTCCCAGGGCTTGTACGGCCTTCACCCCGACCATTTGCCCAGGACAGATGGGGTGAAATACGAGGGTCTGCCCTGCTGCTTCTATGAAGAGAAGCAGGTGGCCCGCGGGGGCGGAGGGGGCAGCGGCTGCTACACTGAGGACTACTCGGTGAGTGTGCAGTACACGCTCACCGAGGAACCACCGCCCGGCTGCTACCCCGGGGCCCGGGACCTGAGCCAGCGCATCCCCATCATTCCAGAGGATGTGGACTGTGATCTGGGCCTGCCCTCGGACTGCCAAGGGACCCACAGCCTCGGCTCCTGGGGTGGGACGCGAGGCCCGGATACCCCACGGCCCCACAGGGGCCTGGGAGCAACCCGGGAAGAGGAGCGGGCTCTGTGCTGCCAGGCTAGGGCCCTACTGCGGCCTGGCTGCCCTCCGGAGGAGGCGGGTGCTGTCAGGGCCAACTTCCCTAGTGCCCTCCAGGACACTCAGGAGTCCAGCACCACTGCCACTGAGGCTGCAGGTGAGAGCAGGAAATGGCAGTAGGTCAGAGCAGGAGTTTCCATCAGGGTCGTCTTGTCTTCTGTCTTAGGCATTTTCTGAATGACTTCTTTTGTGTCCTTGGTTTTAAACACCATCTGAGGCTGAAGACTTCCAAGGGTTACTCCTCAGCCTGGCCCTCCCTTGGAGTTCAGACCCATTGAGCCCTCTGCTTCCATGATCTCGGGATCTCTCCCCAAGATGCCTGCAGCCTGTCATGTCCACAGCAGTACTCATTTCCCCCTCTGCCCTGCTCCCCATCCGCATGCTCACACCAAAAACCTAGCACCAGCTGGGGGTAGTGGCTCATGCCTCTAATCTTGGCTCACCCAACCACTTTGGGAGGCCGAGGCTGTGGATCACTTGAGGCCAGGAGTTGGAGACAGCCTGGCCAACATGGCAAAACCATGGAGTCGGTTCATGACTCCTCATGGCTGGGATATTATGTAGGAGCCACTTCATAAACATTCTCGTTACTCAGTACAAAAGTTAGCCAGGGGTGGTGGCGGGTGCCTGTAGTCCCAGCTACTCAGGATGCTGAGGCAGGAAAATCACTTGAACCTGGTTGGCAGAGGTTGCAGTGAGCCAAGATCAAGCTACTGCACTCCAGCCTGGGTGACAGAGCGAGACTCTGTCTTAAAAAAAAAAAAAAAAAAAAAGGCAGGACCCAGTGGCTCATGCCTGTAATCCCTGCACTTTGGGAGGGCAAGGCGTGTGAATCACTTGAGTTCAGGAGTTCGAGACCAGCTTGGCCAATATGGTGAAACCCCATCTCTACTAAAATACAAAAAAATTAGCTGGGCGTAGCGGGCACCTGTAATCCTAGCTACTCCGGAGGCTGAGGCAGGAGAATCGCCTGAACCTGGGAGGCGGAGGTTGCAGTGAGCCGCGCTCCAGCCTGAGCGACTCCATCTCAAAAAAAAAAAAAAAAAAACCTAGGCCCCATCCCTGTGCCCACCCTGCCCCTTGCACTTCAGCCTCCTGGGCTTCTCAACCCGCCTGTGAAGGACCCCAGTTGCTTGTTTTTGCCTCAGTCCATGAAAATGAATTCCCAGAAAATGAAACTTAGCAAAAGACATGTAAGATACAAGTCCAGGTATTTTATTATTAGATTCAACAGACATCAGATTGCTACAAGATTTCCAAACATGCTGTCTCAGTAATAAACTGGAGTCTAGCACCTCTGAGTAGCACTGCAACAAGATCTACCTGCAAAGTACATCCCAAATGTATCTACTTCTCTGCACTCCCACTGCTATCCCCTCAGTCCAGTCTCATTTTCCTCTCTTCGGGACAGAGGCAATAACCTCTGACTGATCTGCTGTCACTGGTCTTGCCTTCTATTCCACTTGGAACCAGAGTGGCCTTTTTTGAAACATAAGTTGATGTCTTTGTGCTAGAAAACCCTTCAATGACTTGCCATTACCTTTAAAATCTTAAAAATGTTGGCCGGGTGCGGTGATTCACGCCTGTAATCCCAGCACTTTGGGAGGCCAAGGCAGGCAGATCACCAGGTAAAGAGACCGAGGCCATCCTGGCCAACATGGCGAAACCCCGTCTCTAATAAAAATATGAAAATTAGCCGGGCGTGGTGGCGTGTGCCTGTAGTTCTACCTACTCGGGAGGCTGAGGCAGGAGAATCGCTTGAACCCGGGACGCCGTTGTTGCAGTGAGCTGAGATCGCCCCATCGTACTCCAGCCTGGCGACAGAGCGAGACTCCGTCTCAAAAAAAAAAAAAAAAAGTTAACTCCTGGCTGAGTGCTTTGGAAGGCCAAGGCAGGAGGATCACTTGAGGCCAGGAGCTGGAGACCAGCCTGGGGAACATAGAATGACCCTATCTCTTAAAAAAAAATTTAAAAAAAAATTTTTTTTTAATTAGCTGGGCACGGTGACACATGCCATTAGTCCCAGATACCCAGGAGGCTGAGCCCAAGAGATTGAGGCTGTAGTCATGATCTCACCACTGCACTTCAGCCTAGGCAACACAGCAAGACCCTGTCTCAAAAATAATAATAAATGTTAGCATCTCACTCAGTTCTGTGTGATCCAGCTCCTGCCAACCCATCTGATGAGCTCCTGGTTCACTCTCCTTGCTTCCTGCTTTCACCTCCTGTGGCCCCTGTCCCGTTCTTCCCATGTGCCAAGCTCATTCCAGCCCCCAGACCTGTCCGCTACTTTTCTCCTCCAGATCTTAGGTTAGGTAACACTCCAGCCCCCTCTGAGATCACCTACACACCTTCTGTTCACTTCTGTCATCCTATTGCTAAATTACTTTGTCTCAAGGTTCGTAATCTCTGTGAGGGAGTCCTCTCTGCTGCTTTTCCCAAGGCCTGACGCACACCGGGCACCCAGTTAACATCTTTAATATATTGGGCTTTCGTGCTACCTGAGGGCTTCTAGAAAGCTCTCTACATCCAAGTGAGAGGCTGGCTCTCCAGGAGGTACCTGTGCTCTCAGCACAAATGGAGCCCCTCTGGGAACAGGAACCTGCTTCAGCCCTTTAGCATACACAGGCCTGCCACATGCTGGGGACAGGGCCACCTGAGTCCCTTGCCTGGTCCCATGTGTGGTGCCAGCTCCCTCCCCTGATGATTGTTCTCTCTCTTTCCCAGGACCGAGATCTCACTCAGCAGACAGCAGCAGCCCGGGAGCCTGAGCTCAGGAGGAACTCTTACCTGGAAATTGGGAACTGTATGGAGACTCCAAACTGACTTCTTTCAAAAAACAAAAACAAAAAATTTTTTTAGCTTTGACAAACACACAAAAGTGGTAATAAAGAGAGCCCTCCTTGTCAACCCAAAATGTGAGCCCCCTGTGGCAAAACCACCCCCTACCCCATTAACAAATCAACAGACAAAATTCTCCGAGTCCTTTGCCTCTTTTGATAACATGTTGTTCTGTTTTGTAAAGTGTGTGTGCTTGGGGTTCCGAGGTGTGGGATTGAGTTCTCTGCTTTGTTTTTTTTTAAGATATTGTATGTAAATGTAAAAAGTTATTTAAATATATATTTTAAAGAACCCTAACTGCCAACTTTTGCTGAAAAAGAAAAAAAAATCACTGCTGCATTAAATGAACCACATCATGTGTAGATACTGTTGTCTCCCTGAAGGGAGCTCAGGCCTTTGAAAAGCTCAGGGCTTCACCTGCCTTAGAAAATGAACCAGAAACTTGAAGTAAAGCTAGTTGATAGGGGTACAGGCTCTGAGGAGCAGTGCAAAACTGCCTCTTTCTTTCTCGTGGCAAATCCCAATGTACACGATTTCAGGTCTCAGACGCCATGCCTCTCCAGCCCACGCCTTTAGGCAGGTGATGGCAGCAGCTAGGAATAGGGTGTACATGATCCACAGCCCTGCGGAGCCAGGTCAAGCCGCTGCTATGAAAGCTCCAGGGTGATGGGGACGATTCTGCCCAGTGTCCTCAGTCTGTCCCCTCAGGTCATGGTCCCAAGTGAAATGACAGAGTTCACAGCCCTGGTCTTGGCTGAGGTCCAGGTCATAGTAAGGGCATGTTCTTGGGGCCCTCGACCTGAACTCTGACCCTCCGGGCAGGGAAGAGGAGGTTGTCCCCTTTGGTTGTCCTGGCTTTGGAGTCCTTTGCAAAAATATTTTGGGCCCCCTGCCACTGGCTGCAGAAATGGCTCGACGGGGTGTGTGGGGACAGACACCCAGAAGGAATGTACTTTTGTGGCCTTGGTGTCCGATGGGGCTGGGGGAGAGTGCTCTCCACTGACCCAGCAGCACACCCATGTGCAGTGCGCCTGCATCTGTGTGGGGGCAGCCACACCCCTTGGCTGCTGCTTCCTTGGGCTGCCTTTCTGGGGGCATGTGACTGGACCTACGAGGTCTGCACTGAGCTCCATTTGAATGATACCTTTCCTATCCCATTTCCCCCACGGAAGCACCGCTTCAGGGTTATTCAGTCCTCTGCCTCATGGCTGAAATTGCTCATCTCGTCTGCAGATGTCTACTATCCTGTCTACCTAATGCACTATTATGTATTGATTCTCCATGAGACAGAGAGAGAGAGAGACTATCAGATAGTTTACACCCAAAGGGTAGGTTTTTGTATATTTTTCCAGCCTTTTTTATTAAGGGGAAGGGGAGAGTTTAAAAACCCAAACCGTTGTGGTTTTAAGGTGTTTCATTTTTAAAAGGGAGAGAGAATCTATTTAAAGCTATTTCAGATCAGGGATTGTCATCCTTTTTTGTCCAATGTATTCCTTGTTCTTTAAAAAAATTTTTTTTAGAGGAAACTAATATTAGTCTTTGTGTTCACTAACTCTTCTGGTCACTTGTATTTATTTATTCATTCATTCATCAGATATTTGTTGCCATCTGAAAGAACTGGCCCAGTGGGTCTGAAAGCTCGCTTGAGAATAGGAAACTTGAGACCTGGCCCCCTGTGGGTAGGAGAACAAGGACCACCTGGGTTCTCCAGTCTTGAACGAGAATCTCACTCTTATCAGAATGTTTTTCTTAACCTCAGCGTATGATGAGGAAATTTACTTATCTCTAGCTAGGATTTGACAAATTCCAACATCAAATGATCAAAACATTTGCCACTGAGGCTTCACTGGTGAGATCCGTTCTCCGTCCTCGGGTGCAGTCCCTTGGGGGCTGCTCCTCGGACTGCGCCCCGCACACCTGTTATCGAGGGTGTGAGAAGCGCCTAAGCTGGTGACATGTGATCTGGGACGCCTTCATTTCTCGGGCCAGGAGTAGCAGCTGCTAAGGACAGCAGCTTGCATTGCGTGGTTTTAGGGAAGCAGGGTCTGGCTTTTAATATGAACTGCAAAAAGCAGCTTCTCACTGATATTTTTTTGTTGTTGTTTCTGGGGGGTTTTTTTGTTTTGTTTTTAATGCCTTTGAGTGCATATTTTCTTCCTCGTCTGAAACCGAACTCCCAAAGTGGCTTTCTTTAGCCCTGGCTGGAAAACCACCTCTCAATAGCCTTAAGCAATAAATAGATGAGTAGAGAATGTGGCTTCAACTGGGCTTATTAAAGTAAGTGTGTCTAGTTTTCACTTGAACAAGTGATAGCTGCAGATGGCGAAAGAAACCCATTTAATTTTTGTAGCTTACAGGTGGTAGAAACAAAAATGCAATTTTAAAACCTTAAATACCAAATACCAACCATTGCCTTTTTTTTTTTTGAGATGGAATTTTGCTCTTGTCACCCAGGCTGGAGTGCAATGGCGCGATCTCACCTCACTGCAACCTCTGCCTCCCGGGTCCAAGTGATTCTCCTGCCTCAGCCTCCCAAGTAGCTGGGATTACAGGCATGCGCCACCACACCCAGCTAATTTTGTATTTTTGGTAGAGACAGGGTATCTCCATGTTGGTCAGGCTGGTCTTGGATTCCCGACCTCAGGTGATCCGCCCACCTCGGCCTCCCAAAGTGCTGGGATTACAGGCGTGAGCCACCATGCCTGCCCAGCAATACCAACCATTGTCTTTTAAATTCGTGTTGGCTTCTCAGACAGGGAGATCACTGGAATAAAATAACCGATGGTCTTATTTTGTCACACGTAAATCAAAAGAAATGTCCTCTTTGAAGTTGTAAGACTCCACCAATGACAGACACCCTTTTCGGTGGACTCTGAGTGGTGTGTAGTGGTTTTATAGCCATGGAAACTAGGAGTATCTCACTTTCCACTGAGAACCCCTGCCCCCAATCCCTCTAAGTTGGGGTGTGGCAGTTGGGCAGGGTCAAGTGACCCAGCCCTGGCTGTAGGACAGCCATATACAGTGAAGAGTTCTAGAACCAGCTAAAAATGGAAGTTTGGGTGTTTACCAACAAGGTACCTCTTTATGGATGCAGCCCCAGTAAGCTGGCTTTAACTCTCAGCTCCTTCCCTGTCTCCTCCTAATCCAAGCCCTTTTATAAAATAAAGCCCCTTCTGTCCCACTGCTCACATACTTATGTGCTGCTAGTCTCTACTCGAAGTTCGTGCAGGACTAATGCTTTTAAAATGAGGTCTAAAAAATAATTACTAGTCGAGACTATTATTCTTTAAACAGAACTGCCTTTTTCTACTCTTTATGTAAACTCTTTCTATTGTGTTGGTCTAACAAGGCACTATTTTAAAATTTTTTAATTTTTCCCATAGCACTTAAAAGAGATTTTGTAAAGACCTTGCTGTAAAGATTTTGTAATAAAATGGTCTAAGGGCTCTTTTTCCAACATTACCATTTTTAAAAAATGTTTTAAAAGCTAGAAGACAACTTATGTATATTCTGTATATGTATAGCAGCACATTTCATTTATGGAAATATGTTCTCAGAATATTTATTTACTAATATATTTATCTTAAGCCATGTCTTATGTTGAGAGTGTGACATTGTTGGAATAATCATTGAAAATGACTAACACAAGACCCTGTAAATACATGATAATTGCACACAGATTTTACATATTTGCAGACCAAAAATGATTTAAAACAAGTTGTAGTCTTCTATGGTTTTGTAACAAATTGTACACATGACTGTAAAAAAAAAATACAATTTTATCAAGTATGTGTTATATGTTGTCATTGGTCTGTTCAGTAAAAGTCTGCAGATTCAACAAGGGGAGGTTTGCATGGGGCAGTACTTTTAACTTCTACTCGTCCATGGAAGCATTCATATAACTTTCTCTCCTGTTAATATAGAGTCCAGGTTATTGGGGGTTTAGGCAGTGTCACAGGAGAGCATCTGTTATAAGGTGTGTGGGTTTACATCCTTGTGAGAATGGTAGGCTTTCTGCTCAGCCCTATGTAGAAGGAGCTAGGGAAAGTGATAGTGATTGAGCCTAGGGGTCCACTTTTTATTTTTTATTTATATTTATTTATTTATTTATTTATTTTTGAGACAGAGTCTCACTCTGTCGCCCAGGCTGGAGTGCAGCGGCGCAATCTCGGCTCACTGCAAACTCCGCCTCCCAGGTTCAAGCCATTCTCCTGCCTCAGCCTCCTGAGTAGCTGGGACTACAGGTGCTCCCCACCACGCCCGGCTAATTTTTTTTTTTTTTTTTTGTATTTTTAGTAGAGACGGGGTTTCACCATGTTAGCCAGGATGGTCTCGATCTCCTGACCTCATGATCTGCCCACCTTGGCCTCCCAAAGTGCTGGGATTACAGGCATGAGCCACCGCGCCCGGCCATCCACTTTATAAAAATAAGGAACCATATGGCCAGGCGTGGGAGCTCATACCTATAATCCCAGCTATTCAGGAGGTTGAGTCAGGAGGATCTCCTGAGGCAGGAGTTGGAGACCAGCCTCAGCAACATAGTGAGACCCCATCTCTCTACCGAGAAAAAAAAAAAGCTATACGTGTTGGGGTCCAAATGTAGTCTTAGCTACTCAGGAGGCTGAGGCAGGGGGATTGCTTGAGCCCAGGAAGTCGAGACTGCAGTGAGCTATGATCATGCCACTGCACTCCAGCCTGGGCGACAGAGCTGTCTCAAAAGAAAGAAAAGGAAGGGAAAGAAGGAAGGAAATAGGGAACCATAGCCTGAATATAAAACATCTGCTTTATCTGTCAGGTCTTTTCCTACCTGGAAGACTAAGAGACTCTCAAGGCCTTGGAGGAAAAATATTCCAAGCATCTACCCTTCAAAATTACCTAATCATGAGTGGAGAGGGACCCTTGGTCTTCAGTGAATCTGGTACCTCTTTGTTTCCCCTGAGAGGGTGTCGCTAATTTGTAAAGCACTCTGCGATAACACGGAAGGTGCAAAGTTGTGTTTATTTTTCAGATCTCTAGCAGAGAATACTCTAATCCCATGAGTTCTTGTTCCTATTTTTTGCTCTTTAACTTGGGCCATTTCTTGAGTACAGGCTCCTCGTGGACACCTGGCTGCTTCCTGCCAGGGAACCGGTCCCTCTGAGCACCTTCAGAGATGGCACCCTGACTGCAAAGAGCCTCCCAGAGCTTTTGTTTAATGGCCTTGCCCAGCTCCAGGCTGTACCTCTTGGGGGTCCCTGAAGGATTCCACAGCATTGGCTCCACCACAGCGTGGTACAGAGCCTGGTAACCCTCTGTGGGGAGACCATGGATGGTTAGCGTGTCCTCCGACAACTGCTGTCTCTTTTGGGTTTCAGGAAGCAACACTCGGCCCTTCCAGGCTGCTGTCCCACTGTCCTGGGGTAGCGCTTGGGTGGCAGCCACATGTTCAGCATATCTGTCCTCAAGATCTTGGCGGACTGTTAGTTTTTTCTCCTTTGAACTTTCTTTACTCTAGCCAGGAAGAAAGCAGAGAAGTCAAAGCTAAAACTTGAGAGGGGAGCTCAGAATAATTATCTGGGATTTGTGTCCCAGAGTCTTGGTTACAGCAACAACCAACATTTGTCTAGCATGTTCTAGTTTACTGAATTCCTTTATGTACATACCACTGCATGTGTTCCCCATAACCCTGTGAGGTCAGCAGGAGACAACTTTATAGGCAAAGAAATTGGAATTGGTTTGCCCAAGGCCACACAGCTAGAAGGTTAATAACAGCTGTCATCTATTGAATGCCACGCAAGATCCTAATTATTTACCCTCTGCCAGGCTCTGTTCAAAAGCCTTTTGCATGTATTATTTAACATTCATGAAGCCCTATGAGGGAAGGGCCGTTATCCCCCATTTAATATGATAATATCAAGGCACAAAGAAATTAAGCCCGAGGTCGTCCTCAATTACAGTCCGAGTTGGGATTTGAACCCTGATGGCCTGCTGGCCACCACGGGGTAACATACCTGGATTCCAATCAGGCCTTCGTAGGCCAAGTTCTCCATGTGGACGCTCACAATCCAGATCCATAGCTGACCACTGGTTGTGTGTGTGTGTGTGTGTGTGCACAAGCATGCACTACCCATATCCTAGCCTTCCTTCTCACCCTTATTTTTCCTTCATGTCAAGTCTGTGCTTATGAAAGCCACCTCATCCTTCTCTAGAACTAAGCATAGTGTAAATGATAAATAGCATGACCCCAAAATCTGGGGCATTCTTCCACTCTGTCATGCTACACCTCCTCCCCACATTCTGTCTTCAACTTTAGGATTTCCTTCACTTGGTATAGATCTTTTTTTCTTTTCTTTTTTTTTTTTTTTTTTTTTTATTTTTTAGACAGGGTCTTGCTCTGTTGCCCAATCAGGAATGCAGTAGTGCAATCATGGCTCACTGCAGCCTCAACCTCCTGGGTTCAAGTAATCCTCCCTCCTTAGCCTCCCAAGTAGCTGGGATCACAGGCATGTGCATCATGCCTGGCTTTTTTTTTTTTTTTTTAGTAGAGATGAGGTCTCCCTATGTTGCCCAGGCTGGTCTTGAACTCTCTGAGCTCAAGTGATCCTCCCTGCTTGGCCTCCCAAAGTGCTGAGATTATAGGCGGTAGCCGCACGCCATATAATCTCAACCGTTAAGTGTTCTCTGGCTTTACCTTTTCCCTCCCCTCGCCAGTCACATTTTCCCCACCACTGGTCCTCGTCTACCTCTCTGATGCCTCCTGCAGGCCTCCTATGCCCTGCTGGCTGCTTGCTCTTGGAACTGATGAAGTTTCTTTTCCTGGCCTGCTGGGTGGCTTTCATCACTGAATCGTCCTTGTGCTTTAATCTCTTCGAGAGTTTTCCTTCTCCAAACTTGCATGGTGGTGGGCAGCACTTATTCTTCAGTTGCCGCCTGAGTACAAGCTTAACCAGGGAGAAGGAACTGGCAATTAATGGGTTCCTTACAACTTCCCAAGAGGAAGTGGTAGCTGGTGCTGGGGCATTAATGTTCTGCTTTGCACATGTTCTGGCCATCCAGATGTTGGTGAGAGCCGGTGAGTCCACATAGCAGTCCTGAAGCCTGGTATTTAATAAGATGGACTGTCGGAGTCCATAGATAGGGATGCTGGGGTCTCGTCTCACATTGATTGGGTGCTAGAATTATAAGGAGGGAGAAATGAATTTTAAAAGGACCGTTCTTCAGCAGAGAATAAAAGGTCTACTTTGAAGGCAAAATATTAACATCTTTTTATAGGCCATTCCTTCCACCCAGTTCTTAGAAATTTACTATATGTCCTCTCCTGTTCACCAAAGCCTTTTATACCAAGTAGGGAGGAGATAGTCACTCCACAAGGTTACAGTAATATTCAGGCTCTCAAAGAACATAGCATGCCAGGGCAGGAAGTCGGGGGTCAGGGAGGGTTCACAAGGAATTGAAGACAATTCCTGCCTGCTGGAAAGATACGGACGGCAGGGTCACTCAAGACTTCCATATGAGCTGTAGACACTCAACCATGCTGCAACACAGACATGACAGCCGGTAAGTTCTGCCAAGCCCTGAATACGCTTTACACTTTCTTTTTTTGTGTGTGGGGGGGACGGAGTTTAGCTCTTGTTGCCCAGGCTGGAGTGCAATGGCGTGATCTTGGCTCACTGCAACCTCCGCCTCCCGGGCTCAAGGGATTCTTCTGCCTCAGCCTCCGAAGTAGTTGAGATTACAGGCATGCACCACCGCACCCAGCTGATGTTGTATTTTTAGTAGAGACAGGGTTTCTCCATGTTGGTCAGGCTGGCCTCGAACTCCCCACCTCAGATGATCCGCCCGCCTCAGCCTCCCAAAGTGCTGGGATTACCAGCATGAGCCACCATGTTCGGCTGAATACACTTTCTAACCAACTGCCATGCACCAAGAAGAGCTCATTCACAGGGAAATCAATATACTCTGGGGACCATAAAAGCAACACGAAAACATTAATGCTGCCGGCCTCCATTTCCTGGGACCAACTAAGAGCAACAGAACAATTTGGATAGATTAGAATCACATATTTAAAGAGATCTGGCTTTCTAAGAAATGTCATCTATAGAAATAAAATCACCTTACCATATTTCAGTTGCCTTAAATTTTATTTTCGCTAGCTTAGTAAGGGGAAGAAATATGTATTTTCTCTTTCCTTTTTCTCTCTCTCTCTTTTTTTTTGTTTTTGTTTTAATATTTCTAGTCACCTGTCTTTCTCTGCCTTAGTCACATATGGGCAAATTGCTGTTTGTTTAGATGTGGGCTCAATGCAGGCAGCTTTGAGCCATTATCTCTAGTATTTGTGATGTCACTTTGGTTTGTGATGTGGGTGTGGGTGGGTGTTACATCATCAGATTTTATAGTTAAATTATGTGGGAAGAAGTTCTATACGGTTTTGCTTCTAGCCTCAGAAACTTCTGAAGTCCTCATTTCCCCCAAAATGGCTTGGATGAATTTTGAAGATCTTCATGTTCTTAAGAAGTATGTTTTGCAGGAAATGTAGTCAAATATGCAGACCAGATTTGGGGATATGGGTAGTGAGATGCATCCCTACATGTGCAAAAGTGCCCTCCTTCATGTACATAAAGGAGGCACTGTTAAGTTCTCAGAACAGCTGCCAAGGTTAGGGACCAGGAATGAAAGAACACGTTCCTGCAGACCTGGGCACCTTTCCCTGCATGTCTCTCCCGGGAAGACTACATGGTTTCTGGAATGTGGGTTTCTTTTACATCCCATGGCAAATGCAGTAATTAGAGCTGTTAGCAGTGTCAAGGGCTTGAAAGGAGAACAAAGCCGCCTCTTCCTGGGAACTCTTGGGCAATGCCTCACTGCTTATCAGGTGCTCGTCCTGTTGGTGGGTTTGATTCTTTTATTTGTAAAATGCCTCAGGAGCCTCCCTCCTGAGGGGGAGGCCAGTGAAATGATGGAAAAACAGAGTATGAATCTGGCAGGGGCTCCTGGAATCGCATGTGTTGCCTGCTTGCGTTTTTAAGTGTTGTCCCTGGAGTGAATCAGAGCCTGCAGGCGGACCGCACCACAGGCTGTGGTGGAACCACCTCCAGGCCTATGGCAGCTGGACCCACAGACAGTTGAGAGGACAATTGCTCCCTTTCAGTGGCGAGCCCTGGCCTCACCTCCTAAGAGCTGGGTCGATTTTAGAGCAGGGCTTTGGAAAGGGTTTGTCTTTGGGAAGAGTTTGCGAATGTCTGGAGACTGGGCAGGCAAGAGTCTTTTCAAAGCTGGTCAGTCTTGGAAAAATGGCACCGGGCTCCTGGGCTACCTGGAAATTACCATCTGTCTTTACTCTGCAAAGCAGGGACAGGAGGGAAATGTCAAGCAAAAAAAGGCATAATAGGAGTAGGTCATCTGTTTCTCTTTTCTCCTTCTCCATCTTGAGTTTGGCTTTCCTGCACCTCATCTTTCCACACACTCATCCGTTAGATTTACTCTGCTAGGTCTTTTACTCAATGACTCTGCTTGGTCTTTTACTCACTCTGTCCCCCAGGCTGGAGTGCAGTGGTGCGATCTCGGCTCACTGCAACCTCCGCTTCCTGGGGTTCAAGCAATTCTCGTGCATCAGCCACCCAAGACGCTGGGATTACAGGCGCGGACCACCAAGCCCAGCTAATTTTTGTATTTTTAGTAGAGATGAGTTTTCACCATGTTGGCCCAGCTGGTCTCAAACTCCTGGCCTCAAGTGATCCACCCACCTTGGCCTCCCAAAGTGCTGGGATTACAGGCGTGAGCCTGTGCTCAGCCTCAATCTCCTTCTTCCAGCAGAGAGCTGTTCACATGGGCAGCACTTGATACATACTCTTCAAGTTCTATCAAATTCTGCCTTCTCTGCCTTCATTGTAACTCACTTCAATTGACTATGCCACAACAGGTAACCCTCAGCCTTCCTTAGAACTAACCCAGGGTACTTTGTTCTAAGCTATTTCTCCTATGTCAATAAAACTAATATTTATTGAATGCTTCCTGAAGGCCAGGCACTGTTCTAGCCACTTTATTAGCATCATGTCATGAAATGCTACCAACCATCCTATGAGTTTGAGCACTGTTCCCTGTTTTACAGATAAAGAAACTGAGGCACAAGTTGCTCAAGTATCATGCCTCAAGTAACCAACAAAGGCTGAACCCAACCAAAGTCTATACTGCCCTTGTTTTTGTTTTTGTTTTTGAGACGGAGTTTCACTCTTGTCACCCAGGCTGGAGTGCAGTGGCACGATCTTGGCTCACTGCAACCCCCACCTCCCAGGTTCAAGGGATTCTCCTGCCTCAGCCTCCCAAGTAGCTGGGATTATAGGCACGCACTATCATGCCGGGCTAATTTTTGTATTTTTAGTAGAGATGGGGTTTCACCATGTTGGCCAGGCTAGTCTCAAACTCTTGACCTCAGGTGATCCACCTGCCTTGGCCTCCCAAAGTGCTAGGAATACAGGTGTGAATCACCACACCCAGCCCTACTGCCCCTGTTCTTAAACACTCACAGTTATCACCGTGATGCCTGGCCTCTCTGTTGGTCAGCCCATCCATCTACCATACCCGGGCCCAGTTCTAGTCCTGTCCTTGTCATGAGACTTTCTCTAGGCCCAGGAGGGAATCTGCCTGTGATGGCATCCCAGATCCATCTTTCATTAGGCAAGTGAATTCATACCCCTGAACCTTAATTTCCTCAGCTGTGAAATGGGCCTAGTCATACTGCCTACCTAAGGGTTATTGTGAGTTTGAAGTGGGACAATGCATCTGAAATACTTGGCATGGCTCCTGGTGTATATAGTAAGCACTCAATGAATATTTGCTTTTTTGTGTTTTTGTTTTTGTTTCAAGACAGGGTCTCAGTCTGTCACCCAGGCTGGAGTGCAGTGGTGTGATCACGGCTCATGAGAGCCTCGACCTCCTGGGCTCAAGCAATCCTCCCACTTTGGCCTCCCAAGTAGCTGGGATCACAGGCTTGTTTTTGCCCAGTGATTTTTTTTTTTTTTTTTTTTTTTTTTTTTTTTTTTTTTTTTTTTTTGTAGAGATGAGGTCTCCCTGTGTTGCTCAGCTTAGTCTGGAACTCCTGGTCTCAAGTGATCCTCCTTGGCCTCCCGAAGTGCTGGGACTACAGCTGTGAACCAACACACCTAACCCATGTGAAAGTTATTTTTTACTTATTTATTTTTTTGAGATGGAGTCCCAATCTGTCACCCAGGCTGAAGTGCAATGGCACATTCTCAGCTCACTGCAACCTCCGCCTCCTGGGTTCAAGCAATTCTCCTGCCTCAGCCTCCCGAGTAGCTGAGATTACAGGTGTGCACCACCACGCCCGGCTAATTTTTGTATTTTTAGCAGAGATGGGGGTTTCACCATGTTGGCCAGGCTGGTCTCGAACTCCTGACCTCGTGATCTACCAGCCTTCACCTCCCAAAGTGCTGGGATTTCAGGCGTGAGCCACTGCGCCTGACCATGTGAATGTTATTAATATTATGGTCCATTTACTCATCTGACCCTTTCTTGAGCTCCTGTTGCTCATGGTCTAAGTGATGTAATGCAACATTTGATATGATCTTTGTCTCAGGTCATTCATGTACATCAATCTGGTTTATGGCCGGTGTGGTGGCTCGCACCTATAATCCCAGCACTTTGGGAGGCTGAGGCAGAAGGATCACTTGAATCCAGGAGTTCAAGATGAGCTTGGGCAACAAAGCAAGACCCCATCTCTACAAAAAAGAAAAAGAACAAAGAAAAAAAAATCTAGTGTATGAGGCCAAGCAATGAGCCTCTTGGAAGTAGGGAAAGTTTCTGATCTGACTTGGGTATCAGACTTTCATGATCCATCTTCATTATATATTTGTCAGATCGATTGACCTCACAGAAGTGTTGAATGTAGAGGAGCTACATCCCCTGGTTACGGGAGTTGTTCAGAATATTCTATGCTTTGTTAAACGGAAAGGGAAGCAGGTAGCTGAAGATAAGATAAGGAAGTGGTTAGTCTTTAGCAGAGATTGTCCCATCAAAGGCTGTTTAGAATTTTAAAGTCAGGATGGAATGACTACTTGGTCCAGGGTACTAAAACCATGGCAAGAGTTTCCATCATGGGTGCCAGCACTTGATCTGGGGAACTCGGGGTTGAAGCAGTAGGGCTTCCATGTTGCTGAAAGACCTCTTCCTTAGTTTGATTCTCCCATGAAGCTTTTTTATTCTGCTGAGCTCAGTCTCACTAACCTTTATTTTCCACCCATCATTTGGAGCTGTGCTTCCTGACATATCTAAACCACCGCTTCTATTTGCAAACACATCTGTCCTTCTTTGATGTTTAGCCAAACTTTCCTCACAGTATTTTTAGCTCGTATAATCTTCCTTCTTCCTTTTTTTTTTGTCTTTCCTTTACTACGACCTTTCTTCTTTTTAGCTTCTCTTAGCTCTTATTCTCCTTCTGGTGGATCAGCTAATAAAGAAGAAATTGAGTCAATTTCTATTAATTCTTGTCTTCCACCTTTATGGCCCTGCCCCACCCATGCAATTCTAGTGGAATTTAGTTGCTTTTAATTTCCTCAGATGTTTTTGTTTTAACACCCAAGCAGTAAACTTCCATACCCATGTGGGAACATATCTGAGGTTCATGATGCAAAAGAGAAACACTTTGGATGGGAAAGAATTGGAAAAGATTCCTGAACTGTGATGCAAACTCGGAGGACCAATGATTTGGACCACATGTGCTGAATATGCACCAATCATGGGCCAAGTATGCAAAATAATGGTGTCCTGTGTGCCTTCCCACCAGTTCTCACCTGACTCCCGCAGATGTCCCACACTTCCTCCTTTCTTTCTTTCTTTCTTTTCTTTTCTTTTCTTTTTTTTTTTTTTTTTTTTTTTTTTTTTTTTTTTTTTTGAGATGCAGTCTCGCTCTGCTGCCAAGGGTGGAGTGCAGTGGCACGATCTTGGCTCACTGCAACCTCCGCCTCCTGGGTTCAAGCAATTCTCCTGCCTCAGCCTACTGAGTAACTGGGATTACAAGCACTCACCACCATGCCCAGCTAATTTTTGTATTTTTAGTAGAGACAGGGTTTCACCATGTCAGCCAGGCTGGTCTTGGACTCCTGACCTCAGGTGATCCACCTGCCTCGGCCTCCCAAAGTGCTGGGATTACAGGCGGGAGCCACCGCGCCCAGCCAACGCCTCCTCAATGCTAACCCAAACCCTACTGTGAGTCTTCAGAGGTGCCCACCTGGATGCCCCACAGACAACTCTAACTCATTATGTTCAAGACCAGAGTCTTTCTCTTCCTTCACCCCCATCAGAACAAGCAAATGACTGCCTCTCTTGAATTTCCCATGACTAGTTGTCTGAGCCAGAATCCTGGGAGACTCAGTAATGATACAGTGCAGCCTCAAACCCGAGGCTGAAGGAAAATCGGGAATACAGATCCTATCTTCATTTAAAGCTGGGACAGTCTGTTCATAATGGATTTTTTTGCATTCATTTAGATGTTAAAAAATTATTTTAAAATATTGCATTAAATACTATTTACTAAATATATTTATTAAATGTATAAAATATCTATTAAATAATATTTATCTTGATTACTGGATTTTTTATTGTGTTTTCTAAAAATCCTCTTAAACTCTGTGCCTGAGGCACATACTTCACTTGCCCCATTCCAGTCCCAGCTCTGGACCACTCAGTAAGCATTTGGTGACAGAAACCTATTATTTTATTTTTTATTAATTATTATTATTAATTTTCTTTTTTCTTCTCTTTTCTTTCTTTTTTGACACAGACTCTCGCTTTCTCGCCCAGGCTAGAGTGCAGTGACATGACCTTGGCTCACTGCAACTTCCACCACCAGGGTTCAAGTAGCTGAACCCTGCGTTAGCCTTCCAAGTAGCTGGGATTACAGGCATGAGCCACCACGCCCGGCTAATTTTTGTATTTTTAGCAGAACTGGGGTTTTGCCATATTGGCCAGGCTGGACTCGAACTCCTGACCTCAGGTGATCTGCCAGCATCGGACTCCCAAGGTACTGAGATTACAACCATGAGCCACCGTGCCCAGGCTATTATTATTAATTTTAGAGACAGGGTCTGGCTTTCTTGTTGCCCAGGCTGGGTTGCAGTGGCTGTATCCTCGTTCACTGTAACCTCAAAATACTGGGTTCAAGAGATCCTCCCACCTCAGCTTCCCGAGGTACTGGGATTACAAATGTGAGCCACCATACCTGGCCTAATGACAGAATAAGGAGGCATCAGGTACAGTAGCAAGCATCTGTAGCCCCAGCTACTGAGTCTGAGGTGAGAGGATTGCTGGAGCCCAGGAATTCGAGGCTGTAGTGTGCCATGATTGTGAATAGTCACTGCAATCCAATCTGGGCAACATATCAAACATATCAAACCCCGTCTTTTTTTTTTTTTTTTTGAGACAGAGTCTCACTCTTGCCTGGGTTGGAGGACAATGGCACTATCTCTGCTCACTACAACTTCTGTCTCCCGGGTTCAAGTGATTCTCCTGCCTCAGCCTCCCAAGTAGCTGACATTATAGGCGCATGCCCTGACACCTGGCTAATTTTTATTTATTTATTTATTTTTTACAGATGGGGTTTCACCATGTTGGCCAGGCTGGTCTCGAACTCCTAACCTCAAGTGATCCACCCGCTTCAGCCTCCCAAAGTGCTGAGATTACAGGCACGAGCCATCCTGCCCGGGCTCAAGACCCTGTCTTTAAATTTCTTTTTTTTTTTTTTTTGAGACGGAGTCTTGCTCTGTTGCCTGGGCTGGAGTGCAGTAGTGTGATCTTGGCTCACTGCAACCTCTGCCTCTCGGGTTCACACCGTTCTCCTGCCTTAGCCTCCTGAGTAGCTGGGACTACAGGCACCTGCCACCATGCCCGGCTAATTTTTTGTATTTTTAGTAGAGACGGGGTTTCACCATGTTAGCCAGGATAGTCTCGATCTCCTGACCTCATGATCTGCCCACCTCGGCCTCCCAAAGTGCTGGGATTACAGGCGTAAGCCACCGTGCCCGGCAAGACCCTGTCTTTAAAACAAAAAAGACAAGGAGGTGGCTCAACCTGGTACTTTTTTTTTTTTTTTTTTTTTTTGAGATGGAGTCTTGGTCTGTCTCCCAGGCTGGAGGGCAGTGACACGATCTCGGCTCACTGCAACCTCTGTCTCCTGGGTTCAAGCCATTCTCCTGCCTCAGTCTCCCAAGTACCTGAGACTACAGGCGCCCGCCACTACACCTGGCTAGTTTTTGTATTTTTGTAGAGATGGGGTTTCACTATGTTGGTCAGGCTGGTCTTGAACTCCTGACCTTGTGATCCTCTTGCCTCGGCCTCCCAAAGTGCTGGGATTACAGGTGTGAGCCACCACCCCTGGCCCAGCCTGGTACTTGTGAGGGTAAGACTAGGGTTCCACTGCCTGGGTTCAAAGCCCAGCTCTAACACGATGTCACCTTTGGGCAAGTCATTTAATCTCTCTTTGTTCTGGGGTGGGTGTGGGGCTGGTAAGAATGCCTCCCTCATAAGGCTACTGGGCGGATTTTGTGAAATGCAACCGTAGACACCCTGCATAGCCTTAGTCAAGTCTGCAGTAAACATTTGCTATTGCTGTCATTATAATCAGGCCCCCTCCTCCAGGGCTCTTTCCATAAAATGACTGCCCTTTGAGCAGAAATCATCCCAACTGGAGTTTCAAAGACAGTTGAATGACCCAAACTCCAACATTGTAGGTCTCCTGGCTTCTTGGCCAATCCTGCTGCCCTCGGAGGAAGAAAGGGGCCTTACTTGCACAGTGCAAACAGACAAACGGACACCAACATCTTTCTGGAGGCCCAGGAGCTGCATTCAGTGTCCTCACTCTTTCCATGAAATAAAGCTGCTAAACACCCCAGGCATGTAAAGCACTGAAATGAGTATCCCGGGTTGCTCTCTGCCAGAAGCCAGGACCACAAAAGACCTTGAGCTGTTAAGTGCCATGACCTAGACGTGCTGGGCTGTATTTTTAGCCTCTTGTGCACTGTTTCCATCACCTGTGCTGGGCTTTCAGCTGGAAAAGAGAAGGTGGGGGTGGAGAAGGTTAGAGGGATGTTTTTCACTGCAGCCAGTGCCAGGAGGAGCTTGCACACAAATTTCTGAGTCCTGTTGTACAATAGGACCATTTTCATGGGCGTGCAACCTGTATATCAACATAGGCCCCCTTGCTTGGAAGGGCCCCACACATGCTTTATCTTTTCATCTTCTGCTGTCACTGTCTTGAAATTCTTTTTTTTTTTTTTTTTTTTGAGATGGAGTCTTGCTCTGTCACTCAGGCTGGAGTGCAGTGGCACGATCTTGGCTCACTGCAACCTCCACCTCCCAGGTTCAAGCAATTCTCCTGTCTCAGCCTCCTGAGTAGCTGGGATTACAGGCACCTACCGCCAAGCCCGGATAATTTTTTGTGTTTTTAGTAGAGATGAGGTGTCACCATGTTGGCCAGGCTGGTCTCAAACTCCTGAACTCAGGTGATCCACCTGCCTTGGCCTCCCTAAATGTTGGGATTACAGGCGTGAGCCACAGCGCCTGGCCTGTCTTGAAATTCTTAATAAGTTTGGACAAAGGACATACATTTTCATTTCTCACTGTGTCATGCCAATTATATGGCTGGTCCTAAGCAGTGTACATGACAGAGAGAGCCAATTGGAGGAGGGGCTGCTGCCAGCCCAGGAGGGGTGCCTTCCCGCAGCAGGCAGGACAGACCAAAGCTACTATCACAAGGCATGGCTGCCCAGACTTGGCCAAATAAACTTTGTTTCCAACCTCCTGGGTGCCCTTCCTATTTTCTCCTCTGAAACCTGAATGAGATGCAGAAAGAACCTTGTGAACTGGAGAGACCTGTGTCCTGCTTTGCTGAAGTCTTTCTCTGGCATCCTGCTTAAAGTAGTCCAAAGGTTAGCCAGGTGTGGTGGCATGCCTCTGTAGTCCCAGCTATCCAGGAGGCTGAAGCGGGAGGATCACTGGAGCCCAGGAATTGGAGGCTGCAGTGAGCCATGATCTCACCACTGCACTCCAGTGTGGGCGACAGACGGAGGCCCTGTCTCCAGAAAAAGAAAAAGAAAAAAAATCCACAGAACATGTGGTCAACATAATTTTCTTGTCTTTGCAGTACTTTTTGTTCTTCGGAATTTGTGTGTTTTCAGGTTGACTAGAATGTAAGTTCCAAGAGGAAGGTTTGGTCTTGGTGGCTGTATCCTCAGCCCTTGGCATGTTCCTCGCTGAATATTTGCTGAACGAAGGAAAGTTCGACTTTATTGAGTGTTTGCTTTGGGCTGAGAGCTTCACCTGCATCTTCTCATTTCATTCTCTTCAAAGGCACTGCTGTCTGGGAGGGCACAGAAGTCCTGGAATAAGGGTTCTCAGGTCCGGTGGAGAAGGTGGGAAGGGCCCAAAATTGTGGAAAAGGGGAAAGCTGGACAAAAGTGGGGATCACCGGTGGCAGGAGGTGGGGGGGGCGGTCCCCAGGACCGAGGCTGGCTGGGTGAGGGGATGGTGGGTGCCCCTAAGTTCCAATAAGAGGCCCAGAGGATCCTTGAACTCGGGAATGACACATGAAAACAATAACTGAACAAGATTCTTCTTGCTACAGCGCTGAGTCGTGTGGGTGGAGAGGGACAGAGATCGAGAGGCCTCGTGGGAGGTAGCTGCGCCCTTGGGGCCCGGCCCTGCGAGCAGCCGTGGGTGGGGAAAGGAGTTTGGGGGTACGCGGGCTCTGGGAGTGGATAAGGGGGTGGCGCCCGGGGGTTGAGGGGGCCCAGGGGCGAGTGTACCCAAGGCGTGCCGGTCCCGCCCAGCCGCGCTCTGGGTGCGGCGAGTCTGCACACTGGTGCAGATGTTCCCGCCGCCGCGCCGGGCGCAGGTCTGCACTTGCAAGCCCGGGACCAGGGACTTGAAAGCGCCCGGCGCGCCGCCTGGACCTGCCCCGCCGGGCGTCACCGCTGCGCTTTAGGCGGGAACTGTAGGAAAATCCCCTCTGCCTGGCGGGAGGGCGGGGGAGGAGGACGGCCCACGACCGACCCCGGGTGCGGCAGGGGAAGACCTTGCCGGGGTCGGGGCGGGGGGAGGCGGGCAAAGGGCCTACCACGCTGGGGCCGAAAGTTTAAGCAAGCCGCGCGCTCTCTGATCCCTAACATCCCAGGCTGTAGGATAAGCAGTACTGTCTCATCCATTTCTGGACGTTGCGTTGGGCGTTTTACTTGCTTCTATCTCATCGAATCCTCTGAAGGCCTTTTATTATTCCTATTCTGCAAACGGCTGAGCCTCAGACAGATCAGGAAAGTTGCCCTGGTTGAAACTGGCTATGTGATAAGATACGGAACCAGGGGTCAGTATGTGGCTGCAAACTTGGGGTGGAGAAAGAAATTCAACATTTGCTGAACTCCTACTCTGCGTGCGTAAAAGCTTCCATGCTTTCGTTTTGGTTTTTTTTTGTTTTTGTTTTTGTTTTTGAGACAGGGTCTTGCTCTGTCACCCAGGCTGGAGTGCAGTGGTGCGAAGAAGGCTCACTGCAAGCCCGACCTCCAGGGCTCAAGCGATCCTCCTGCTTCAGTCTCCTGAGTAGCTGGGACCACTGAGTTATTTATTTTTTTCTTGTAGAGATGGGGTCTCGCTGTGTTGCCCAGGTTGGTCTCAGAATCCTGGGCTCAAGCGATTCTTCCGTCTCGGCCTCCCAAAGTGCTGGGATCACAGGAGTTGTTAGCCACCGCACTCGGCTGTAGGCATTCTTATTTAGTGCAAGCGCTCTGAGGAGTAGCAGCTATTATCACCTCCATTTAACAGATGAGGAAATTGAGGTAAGAGCTATTTTTCCTTTAAACCTGTCCAAGGTGTTACATGTGACCAAGTGGGATGTGAACTCTCCAAAGCATTCTTTTTTTAACCATTACGATGAGCTAAGCAAGGGAAAACAGTTTGCAAACTGCTGTTGTAATTATTACCGCTGTAGCTGAGCTCGCGCGTGGGTCACGACCTAAGTGAGGGTGGAGCAGGGGTCACTGGGAGCCCGGCCTATTTCAGCCCGGCCAAACCGCTTGGTGACTTGGAGGCCGGGCCGAGGCCCCGCCCCTCACCTGCTGATCCTACCCTTGGATGGGACAAACAGAGGGCCCTGCTGGGCCGGCCCAGGTGAGGCGAGAGATGGGCGGGGCCTGATGCGTGAGTGGCAGGAGCAGCGCGCGGCCGGGGCGGGGCGTGCGTGCGCAGTGGGCTCCGCCCCCCGGGCCTCTCCGCGGATCCGGGCGGGCCCCAGGCTGCAGGGGCGGTGGCGGCGCTGAGCTGGGCGGGCCGGGGCGGGGCGGCCGGGCGGCCGGGGCGGGGCTACACTCGGGCCCCGCGTCCTGCTCCCATGGCCGCCCCCGGCTCCCCGCGCTGCCCCCTTTACCCCGGGCCGCGCCCCGGGGCCCCGCACTGACGGCCCATGGCGCCGCCAGCCGCCCGCCTCGCCCTGCTCTCCGCCGCGGCGCTCACGCTGGCGGCCCGGCCCGCGCCTAGCCCCGGCCTCGGCCCCGGACCCGGTGAGTGTGAGCGACCCCCCGCCGCCCGCCCTGAGCGGAGCCCACTCGAGGGGCGACAAGGGCCGGCCGGCCTGAGAGCCCCCTCCCTCCCGCTTCAGGACCTTCCGGGCCCCTTCCCCTCGCCCCTAGGCGACGCCCCTCAGGCCGGGATGGTCCCTTCCTGGGACCCGGGCTACCCCCAGGCCCGTCATCGACGCCCCCGGGCCCGGTACTGTCCCCCGGCTGCAGGACCCGGTGCTCCTCAGCGACGCCCCTCAGCCCAGGAGGCCCTCTCCGCCTTGAGTCTTCCAAGACCCTCTGCGACGCCCCCCGGGCTGGGACATCTTCTCTGTCTCGGGATCTGGGACCCGCTGCCCGAGTCCCTCAGCGACCCCAACCAGGCCGGGACGCCCCCTCTCCCCGGTACCTCCTGGGATCCCGTCCCAAGTCCCCAGCGACTTCCCCCGGGCCGGGACGTCCTCTGCTCCCCGGTACCTCCTAGGATCCCGTCCCAAAATCCCCAGCGACTCCCCACGGGCCAGGAGGCCCCCTGCTCCCCGGTACCTCCTGGGATCCCGTCCCCAAGTCCCCAGCGACCCCTCCCGGGCCGGGACGACCCCTGCTCCCCAGTACCTCCTGGGATCCCGCCCCAAGTCCTTCATCGACGCACCTTGCACCGGGACGACTCCCCCGCTACAAGAGGCTATACGCCCCTCTCCGAGACCTCCAGCGACATCCCTCCCCTGGGCCAAGGTCCCCTCCCTGAGCCTCACTGCGACGCCCCCGCGTCCCCCAGTCCTCTCCTCCCGCCTACACCGGTGGAACCCGGCGCCTCCCCGCGCAGAGCAGAGCGGAGGCGGGAGGAGCCGGCGCTCAGCCCCTTTTCCCGAGTCCTCGGCTGCACCCGCTTGGCGGACATTATAACTTCTGCCTCGCGAGGAACGGGATGGACTTGTTCGCCCTGCTAGAGGCAGGTTAGGGTCCTGGGACGACCTTGTACCCAGACGGACGGGACGTGCCCTCTCTCTCCGCTGGGCCGCTTTGAACTTCCCTATGACTCAGGTGATGGCGCAGAAGGGGGAGAGAAAAAAGGAAGCAGTGATGGGAAACTTCTCCCCAACTGAGTTTAGGGTGCTCTTCCTGAGGGTGCAACGCCGAGCTCCGTGTTTTGGGTCAGCCCACACCTTAGACAGGTCACTCACTACCCAGGCCAAGGCCAAGGCCAGGTCTTCCCGAGGTGAGGCCCTGGACCAGGATGAAGCTTGGCTTTTGCTTAACTTCCACACGCAACCTTGTAGCCGAATCCTTTCTAAGTGGAAGAGAAGGCAAGAGGGCGTTGCATTTCTCTGCAGGCTGTTTGGGTGTTGAGCATAGGCCATTTGTGAAAGGGATGGGAAGAGTTTATTACCAGTCTGCAGGAGTAGGAAAACCCGCCTCTGGGTTCTCCACCCAAAGTCACAGACTGATGTTGGAAAGGATGGGATTTTGCTGGTGTAAGAAAACTCAGAGTTGCTTTGTTTACTCATTGGCTTGGATTAGCGAAAAAGCTAGGACTTGGTGTTGTCACTTACTGGGTGACTTTGGGCCATGCCTTCAGCTCTCTGAGCCTCAGTTTCCTCATCTGTAAAGACAGGATAACTTCTTTGCAGAGTGTTGTGAAGATTAAATGATATACTGTAGGTAACATACCCGCATATAGGAGGGAGTCAATAAACATATTTTAATAATACTTTTATAGGGCCTCACAGTTCATCGAGTGCTAGACACCTCATTTACCCTGGGAATGCTAAGAGCTTTCGGTCTGATTCATTTCTGTAAAAGGCTAAGCTTGGCTTTAAATTAGTAGAACTGGGGTCTCCAAGTGTTGTAAACCTGAGGCTCAGTAAGTGGTTTCTGAGTGATCACCGTCTTTTATGGGACTTCTACAGTATGATCACTTCTACTGTTGTGAGGAGTGAGGGACATTCCGAGAGCCAGGATATGTCAACATGACTGTAACCTGGTAACCCCTTAGCTCCACTTTGCTATCTGTGTGGTCAGGGTTTAATGTCCCCTACAAAGAGAGAGGTATGGGTGGAAATAGACTGGTTCCCCTTCTGGAAAGGGCAGAGCAGCAGCTCTGATTTGCATCAAGTGAGCCAACTCTCCTTAAGCTCGTTGGAAGCTAGTCTCTTCCCAGATATCTTTGCTTTTTTAAGGTCAAATGCAGCATCTCTTATCAAGTTTGCACCCCAAATTTTGGTGTACTTTTATTTAGGAGTCTGGGGTAGGGGCAAATAATCGTTGTGAAATAATTTGTGATAAGTGGCCCAAGTTCCCAACTCACTGAGCCTTGCCAGCTTGGTGCCTTACCGTCCTGATAACTCAGTGCTTTGCTTTTTTGACTTTTCCTGTCTAGTTGCAGAAGCAATTTTAGGGAGATACCCCATGGTCTTCACCAACACATCCTGTCTAGATCCTACTCACTAGCTTTTAAAATCCTTCCCAATAAAACACACACACATACACACACACACATACACACACACACTTTACTCTGAGGATATGCCAAACTTGCCATTTTATATTTTTTGATACTGTAATTTTCTCTAAAATTTTGTGGATGGAAAAAATTATTTCAATATTTATATTCTGCACAATTTTGTAATATTTAAATTACTGGTGGTTTGCATTTTTGAATGCTGACTTTATAAAAACAGTTAGCTCATTCCCCATCAATCCTACTTCTAATTACAATGTGTAGCCAACCCCAAATGATCTCCCTTCTTTTCATTCTTCCTCTAAGATTCTCTTCCTTCCTTCACAACTCATAAGAAGGAAAGTAGAAGGTAATGGAATCTAGACTTTCCTTCAAGGAGGAGTGCAACCAGGGCCATGTGGTCGAGAGGTTCTCTGTAGTAGGTCCCATCTGGAATTTATGGAATTTATGGTCTACTCACTTGAGTATTTTACTACCTTTAGGGTCTATTAGGTGCACATCAACAGAGCTTCTCCACTCAGGTTATGTTTGCTGTGAATACCTTTTATAAGTTTATAGACTGATGCTCATTCTCCTCTACCTCCTCATCTGGAATTTGCCCCACTAGCCAGTAGTGTGTTTGCCCTAAAACCTATGAGTTCAGTTAACAGCTAGAGCTTCATACTGTCTACCAATTCTTGGTTCTCTTGGGGACTTCATTAATGCTAATAGAATTACCTGTAAGCGACATGGGGGCTGAAGCAGTGAAGGAGTGAAGGGTGCATACCAGTTACTTGCATACTCTGAGTATTTTAAGAAACACCATTTCGACCTGCTATCAAAGACCTCTGATATTTTTGTGAAAATATACTTTAGTCCCTAGACAAACCATTTAAATCTTTGAGGCCGGGCGCGGTGGCTCACACCTGTAATCCCAGCATTTTGGGAGGTCAAGGCAGACGGATCACCTGAGGTCAGGAGTTCAAGGCCAGCCTGGCCAACATGGTGAAACCCCATCTCTACTAAAAATACAAAAAATTAGCCGGGCATGGTGGCACGTGCCTGTAATCCCAGCTACTTGGGAGGCTAAGGCAGGAGAATCGCTGGAACCCAGGAGGCAGAGGTAGCGGTGAGTTGAGATCACACCATTGCACTCCAGCCTGGGCAATAAGAGCAAAACTCTGTTTCAAAATAAACAAATAAATAAAAAGTATTTGAGATAGGCAATGAGTCCCTTTATAAATCTTAAAGCAAGAAAGCATTCCTTTTAGGCTCACTACTCATAAACAGAAAGTTGATGCACTTCTTGTATATCAATACAGATATTATTGATAAACTCATGGTTTAGCATAGTTAGACCAAAAGCAATAAATGAGTAAGATAAAATATATTGCTTTAAATAGCTTCACAATATACAGATTAGGGATTTTTGGTGATGGGGAATATACCATCCTTAGTTTAGAATTTTTGAGTCTGGAAATGTCAACTGATAATCTAGGTCAGGTGTGGGCAAGCATTTTTTGTAGAGGAAGACAGTAAATAATATGAGATTCATGGGCCTTATACTATCTGTGTTGCAATTATTCAACTCTGTAGGGCAAAAGCAGCACAGACAAAAGACAAATGAATGGGTGTGACAGTGTTTCAGTAAGGCTTTATGGACACTGAAATTTGAATTTCCTATTTTTATTTATTTTTTTAAAGAGACGGAGTCTCACTCTGTCACCCAAGCTGAAGTGCAGTGGCGCAATCTCGGCTCACTGCAACCTCCGCTTCCCGGGTTCTAGCAGTTCTCCTGCCTCAGCCTCTCAAGTAGCTGGGATAACAGGCATGCATCACCATGCCTGGCTAGTATTTTATTTTTAGTAGAGACGGGGTTTCACCATGTTGCCCAGGCTGGGAATTTCCTATAATTTTTATGTTAACAAAATATTGTTCATTTGATTTTTCAAAACTAAAATATTTTTAAAATTATAGATTTTTTAAGTCTTAGCTTGTGGGCCATACAGAAACAGGCAGTGAGCCAGATCTGGGCCACAGGCTGTGCTTTGCTGAGTTCTGTTCAAGGTCCATGTCTTCTGATTTTTTTCAGTGTTCACTGGTCTAGAAAAGGTGAGAAGGAGGCTTGATTTTGGTGAATGAATGAAACTTTTACCATTTACTGTTAACTAACTTTAAGATACATATGGGAGAAATGGTTAAAATGGTACATTTTATGTTAATATTTTACTACAATTTTTTTTTAAAAAGATACGTATGGGGAAAAGTTTGTGCACGTACATTTGGGTCTTTAATAGGACTTTTAGACCAGGTGCAGTGGCTCAAGCCTGTAATCCCAGCAGTTTGGAAGGCTCAGGTGAATGGATCCCTTGAGCCCAGGAGTTTGAGACCAGCCTAGGCAACATAGTGAGACCCTGTCTCTGTAAAACCCTGTCTCTACAAAAAATAAACCAAAATTAGACAGATGTCGTGTAGTCCTAGCTACTCAAGAGGCTGAGGTGGGAGGATCACTTGAGCTGGGAGGTCAGGGTTGCAGTGAGCTGAGATTGTGCCACTGCACTCCAGTCTGGGCAACAGAGCAAGACCCTGTCTCAAAAACAAACAAACAAACAAACAAAAACACCTTGAAAATGTCCTAAAGAGAAATTCAGCATGGTTCAGTGTACACTACATAAATAGTGCCTGCCTTGGAACTGGCCTATGGTTTGTTCAACTATGCCTGCAGATGTTGCTTAGAACAAACCGTTGAGAGATCTATTTCTCAGAGGAAAGCCCAGGCAGCAGGTGGCACCAGCCCTGACACAGAAAAACAGCCAGGAAAAAAAAAAAAAAGAAGAAGAAGAAGAAAACAAACTTCTATGACTTTCCTAACCAGTTAATTTTTATGTCCATGGTTCTGTTGTCATATTTAAAGTCGTTTTAAAAAATAACAATGTGCTTAGCATAGCTGATTATTTTGTTTTAATTAAAACATTTCTGAAAAAACAAAATGAAACATTCAAACATACCAAGTTGATTGTGCTTGTACTGTGGAACAGTTAATGCAAAACACTTGAGAGAGGCCGGAAGTTTGGATCTGTAGTTTTGCCTTGAGTGTCTGCCGCCTGAATAAGGACAACATAGGAGGAAGTGAATGTGTCCCTTAGAAAACTACCTGTATAGGTTTGAAGTGAGATCCAGCACCCCCAACGCCACTTGGCAGGTTACCTTCTGGCCGGCTCACTGGGCAGCCTTGTCATTGGTGAGAATGATGACTGACATTCCTTCTATATTCAGTTTGACCTTGAGAATCCAGCTGGAACCCGTAAGTATTAGTCTAGGAGGAGCAGTCTGAGGTCACTCTATTTTTCCTCCCTGTCTTATCTTCATAGTTGTCCTCCCAAGATGGCGGTGCTTCCCTCAACCCTTACCTCACCTTCTGAGACTTTGTCTGTATTCAGACTGATGAGGGAAAGGAAAGAGGCCATCGCAAAAAAATGTCAGATTGGCGTCCATACACCTCACAAATAACTACTCCACAGAAACGTGACTTCTCTTCTAAGGGAATTCCTTCCCCTCCTTTTAAATTCTCTTTCTAGGTAAACACCTTCCTAGCCTGCACTTGTACCAGTTTAAAGAGGAATGAATGAATTGGGGTGCTAGGGAGCACCTTGGCAGACAAAATGTTTTAGGCCACCTCACACGCAAAGTTGCCTCTCTCCCTGCATTTATACAACAGGGCCCTCTCAGAGCTACCCCTCTGCCGGGCCCAGCTTCTAGCTTCCCTTGCCACGGATTTAATCTCTGGCAAGTAGCCAAAGCATTAAACTTTTATTGTTCAATTTGCCACAAGGGCGGGGCCCTGCTTCTAGTGGGCTGAGGAGGCTGCAGCTGCTTCCAAACCCAAGTGTCACACCACATTAGCAACTGCAGACTTTGAGGGCTGGATTTCTTTCAGTTTGGTTAGATTCTTGGTTAGAACCAGAACGGTATACTCACACACAAAATTTTAAAGCTAGGAAATAGTAAAAACAGTGTAGGCAACTTTTAAAGGTGATTCAGAGCGGCTGTAGCTATCAGCGTGTATGATTGACTCTGCGTGGTTTCTTCACACCTTCCAAACAGACATATTAGATGGCTGTACATGTGCCTTAGTGTCCTAAAGTTGGAGGAAAACATGGCAACCAAGTAGTTCTCTTCTAGACTAGTAGGGATTGCTAACCAATCCCATCACAGTATGTAAATTACTTGCTGTTGTTCAATCTATAAAAATTCATCTTCAAAGAAAATTATTGGGCTGGTAAAAATATTTTTAATAATGACCACAGAAGCCATATTTGTTTTTCTTTGATGTTCTTCCGAAGACCCTTCTGGTTCTAATCAGATTGTTCCCACATAAAATACAGTGGAAATCTACAATAATAAAATCCCTATTCCTATGTCTATGGGGAAATAAACAGGATGGGGACTGTCCTTTTAAGGGGCTTTCCCCTTCCCTTTCCCCAGACTCAAAGCCTCTATTACTGGTGGGTGTTTTGGCATCAGTTAAGGGCCTTCAATCCTTCCCTCCCTCCATGTTTTGCTCTTTCATTAAAGTGTTTCTGTTGTCTAATTATATCCTTTCAATCAAATTAGAGACTGTAGCATCTGGTGAGGGCTGTAACTGCTGCCATCTGCACCTCGTCTATACAGGCCTTTTCAGCTGAGAATCACTCAACTTCCAAATGGCAGGAAGAGATTTGGAAAAAGTTTAGTTGGAGGGGAGATTAACTTAAAAGGAGTGTCTTCAAAGGCTGGGTGCGATGCCCTGCTTGCTGTGATGTGTGCATGGCCAATGCAGAGCTTCACTGGCCTGGCTCACCAAAGATTCTTCCCTAGCGCTTCTGGCAGATGAAGGGTTTTTGGTTGTCTTAGCTGAAATGACTAGGCCTTCTTTGTTAGGGGCTTGGAGGGGGCCAGGGGCTGAGCTGAGAAAGTCTCCCTTGAGAACAATCTTTAGTTATATGACCACTGGTTAATGGGTGTGACACTTTCTGTTTATTTGACCATTTCTTCTAACTCAGTGATTTCAACTGGAGGAGATTTTGCCCCCAGGGGACATTTTGCAATACTTGGAGACATTTTGGCTGTCACAACTAAAGAGGTACTACTGGCATCTAGCCGGTAGAGGCCAGGGATGCTGCTGCTAAACATCCTAGAATGCACAGGAGAGCCCCCACGCCAAAGAGTTATACAGCCCAAAATGTCAGTAGCACTGAGGTTGAGAAACCCCGTCCTGATTGTATTATTTTTTTGTCCTTTTTTTTTTTTTTTTTTTTTAGCGTCAAGCTTTCCTGTTACCAGCAATGAATTTTTTTTTTTATACTTTAAGTTTTAGGGTACATGTGCACAACGTGCAGGTTAGTTACATATGTATACATGTGCCATGTTGGTGTGCTGCACCCATTAACTTGTCATTTAACATTAGGTATATCTCCTAATGCTATCCCTCCCCACTCCCCCCGTCCTTCTTTTTACTGTTAGTTGCCTGCCTAGGAACAGTTGATTCTGATCAGCATCTTTTTTCACTCTTAAGCAGATTCTTCATTATCCACATCTAACCTCTTTAAGCATTTCTGTGGACAGTGTTTCAGAAACCTTAATTCAGTAAGGGGGTCTGTGATTCACTGTGTCTTTTTATTCTCTCTAGAGTACAATTGTCAGATACATTACAGGATGCCCAATTAAGTTTGAGATTCAGACAAACACCAAATAATTTTTAATTAAAGTCTGTTTCATGCAATGTTTAGGAATACTTGTCTTAAAAAATTCTTTGATGTTTATCTGAAATTCAAATTTAACTGAGAATTCTGTTTTTATTTGTCAAATCTGGCAACCCTAATCGAGCTTCATGGAACACTCCATGAAACTTTAAAGCTTTGACAATCAGAATTAATCTGTTGGCCACTATTTGCTCTTATTCTTATTGCTCCAAGTGACCAGAGATGATGGTTCCATCTACTTATAAATGAGTGTTACACTGAGCCTTTCCTTCTGCCCTAAACTGTCTCCCTGGCCAGAACTTATGAAACCCATCTCTTGAGTCATATTTTTATGTTGGGACCAATTAACAAGTACTTATCAAATTCCTCCTGTGTGCCCAGCATCTCTGATTAGGACTTATCCCTGTGCCAATTGACAGAAGGCTACAACTTTGTTGCTTCGAGTTTTACTTTGAAATGTGCTCTAGAGATATATGGTCTACCTGGTATCAGCTCCCCACTCAGGAGCTCTTATATTATTTGTCTATCCCATATCAGCCAAGGGAAACTGAAAAGCCCAGAGTCTGGCTTCCATGGAGTATTGGCTGCCCTCCAGGACTCTATTATTGGGGAATTTTCTTGCCATCTGACATTAAAAATAGGTCACAGGCATTACTAACAAAACTTGTCTAGAAGCTGGATTATATCCAGTTGACCTTCAGACAACATGGAAAAAGGTTGCTCAAGTGATAGTGAGGCAAGGCGTAGATTTGAGCTGGGTGCCTCCTGCTTAAAGCAAACTAAGAATATAAAATTCATATTTTTATTTTATTTTATTTTATTTTATTTTTTAGATGGAGTCTCGCTCTGTTGCCCAGGCTGGGGGGCAGTGGCACTCCTGGCCTCAAGTAATCCTCCCACCTTGGCCTCCCAAAGTACTGGGATTACAAGGGTGAGCCACTGCACCCAGCCCCCATCCATTTCCTTTAAATAGCAGAGTCCCTGGTTTAAATAGCAAATATTTGATTTCCTTGATTTACATAAACTTGTACTTGATTTACATGAACTTTCCTAGAACTTCTCATAGGTATTGCTAGGTAAGTCTTGAGGCTGGCCTAGGAGGAATACATTGGTGAGGAAACTAATGCACCCTGAATGTATCTGTAATGGAGCTTTCCCCTAGCCCCTCATTCACCAGCTTCCCTCTTTCAACAGACACTTAGCCAGGCACCTTCTATGTGGTCTGTAGTTGCTGAGAATACAAAGGTGAGTAAGATGCTCACAGGCTATTGGAAACAGGGCTATGTGCTTCCTGAGCAGTTACACTTCAAGGTAATCAAGTCCTTTAAGAGCTGTGGCAGCAGGCACTGTGACTTGTTTCAAAACCTCTGGTTTCTATAGAAGTTAGTGCTACCTATTCTAGACCCTGAGCCTTCAAATAGTTCGCCTTTTGTTTTTGTGTTTTCTTTAGAGCTGGCTTATAATGAGCTGAGGTATTGTCCATCAGCAAGCTGAAGTTTCAGCTTTAAAATATCTCACGTTTCCTGTATCCTTATGTGAAAACTTTTTTTGAGACAAGGTCTCACTCTGTCACCCAGGCATGATTACAGCTCACTGCAGACTCAAGACAGACCCTTGCCCCAGCCTCCCGAGTAGCTGGGAGGTACCTGCCGCCACGCCTGGCTAATTTTTAAAAAATATTTTTTGTAGAGACAGCTTTTCGCTATGTTGCCAAGTCTATGAAAACTTTATAGTATGAAATTTTATTTCAAGATTCAGGAAGATATTTATGAATAAATATCTAAGGTAGATTTATTTGTGCTCACATATTACATTGAGAGATAGATGCTTTACATCAGCAAAGTATAATAGAATATATTCTATTGGTATTGGAAGTAAAATCCATCAAGGTGCTTTGGTTAATAAATGAAATATTTTTCTTAGAGTTCTGCTGAGTCAGTGACTTTTGACTATTTGAATGAGTCCATTCTTTAACTGAAGTTTAATCTCTACATATTATAGACCTGAATGCTGATAGGTTAATGGACATTTTTTTCTCAAAAAGTGTCTTTTGGACTTCAATTTGATGGTTGTGATACGAGAAAGGGGTCCTGATCTAGACCCCAAAAGGGGGTTCTTGGATCTTGCATAAGAAAGAATTCAGGGGTCCGGCACAGTGGCTCACGCCTGTAATCCCAACACTTTGGGAGGCTGAGGCCGGCGGATCACTTGAGGTCAGGAGTTTGAGACCAGCCTGGCGAACATGGGGAAACCCTGTCTCTACTAAAAATACAAAAGTTAGCCAGCCATGGTGGTGGGTGCCTGTAATCCCAGCTACTAGGGAGGCTGAGGCAGGAAAACCACTTGAACCTAGGAGGCGGATGTTGCAGTGAGCTGAGATTGCGCCACCGCACTCCAGCTTGGGCGACAGAGTGAGACTCATCTCAAAAAAAAAAAGAAAGAATTCAGGACAAGTCCACAGAGTAAAGTGAAAAGGAGTTTATTAGAGAAGTAAATCAACAAAAGAATGGCTACTCCATAGGCAGAGCAGCCCCGAGGGCAGCTGGTTGGCTATTTTTATGGTTATTTCTTGACCATATGCTAAACAAGGGGTAGATTACTCATGAGATTTCCGGGAAGGGGGTGAGGAGGTCCCGGAACTGAGGGATCCTCTTTTTTTTAGGTCATATAGGGTAACTTCTGGATGTTGCTGTGGCATTTGTAAACTGTCATGGTGCTTGTAGGAGTGTCTTTTGGCATGCTAATATATTATAATTAGTGTGTAATGAGCTGTGAGGATGACCAGAGGTCACTTTCATCACTATCTTGGTTTTGGGGGGTTTTGGCTGGCTTCTTTACCACATCCTGTTTTATCAGCGAAATCTTCGTGACCTGTGTCTTGTGCTGGCCTCCTATCTTATCCTGTGACTAAGAATGCCTAAACTGGGATGTATCCCAGCAGGTCCCAGCCTCATTTTACCCATCTGCTGTTCAAGATGGAGTGGCTCTGACTCAAATACCTCTATTTTATGGGTTTATAATATGGTAAATGATAAATAAAAATTCCTGAACACTAATGCATATTCAGGATGACTATTCCTGGCAGAAACACACATGCTTCACAGTGACAAGCATGGCATGTTTTCCAGGGGGCCCTGCCTGGGTAGGAGTGGAGCATATGCAAGATGAGAGCCAGATGGGAAAAGAGTGGTACCCAAGCCACTGCATTCTGGACCTTCTCTGCCTTGATAATTATTTGTTTTTTGAATTTTTATTTAACAAATAAGGCCTTCTCTCCGAAGCGTTTTCATGGTTCTTCTGAATTCAAACATCTGGTCTTATGCTTACCCTGTAAGTTCAGTTTTTCTTATAATGGTCTTTTAAGTAATTAAATATTTCATCTCTTAGTAGAGATAGATAAACTGGAGATTCAAATAGAAGACCTCATGTCCCCTTCCAAAAGTATAAATTCTTTAGTTAAAGTATCTTTGAGAGGCATGGCCTTTCCTTCCGTACTGTTTTTAAGGGCACCATCTCCTTAAATGGAAAAGAAGATCTAAAAGGTATTTTAATAAAAAAGCTACTAGTACATAAAACATTACAGTGATTTTTGTTGTGGTAATTCCACTTTGGGCAAAAGGGCAGCTCGTTCTATGGTCATTTGGCACTGTTAACACATAATCCAAGAACGTGATATATGAGTATCAATTTTGATTTTAGATGGCTAACTTTATGGCCGAATTTGTTTATAGTTCTTGAAAAAAGGCTAAGGTAGATTAATTTCAAAATAACATGTTGGTAACTATTTTCAAGATGTTCTTTGAAAAATTTTTTATTATGGGAAATTTAGGACACAAATAGAGAAGAGAGTATAAGGAAGTCCCATGTATCTATCTCCCGACTCCCACAATTATTAACCATGGCTAATGTTATTTCATCTATACCCTCTTCATTCCCCTTACTACATTATTTTGTAACCAATTTCAGATATGTCACCTCATCTGTAAACATTTTAGTATGTATCTCTAAATGCTAAGGATTCCTTTCAAAAACATAGTAATAGTACCATTATTACACGTAGAAAAAAAAACAATAATTCCTTAATGCCATCAAATATCCAGTCAATGTTCAGATGTTCCTGATTGTCTTATTAGTATTTTTTACACTTCAGTCAGGATCTAAACAAGGTGTATTTAGGTAATGTGAGTCCTAAATCTCTATTAAGCCTTAGATTTCCCCTTTTTTTCTTTTCTTGCAATTTACTTGTTGAAGATGTAGTTTCTTTTAAGCAAGAAGAATGCCTAAGTAGGCCGGGCACAATAGCTCTTGCCTGTAATCCTAGCACTTTGGGAGGCAGAGGCAGGTGGATAGCTTGAGCCCAGGAGTTTGAGTTTGGCCTAGACAATGTAGACCCCATATCTACAAAAAATTAAAAAATTAGCCAGGTGTGGTTACACATGCCTATAGTCCCAGCTATGTGGGAGGCTGAGATGGGAGGATCACTTGAGCCCAGGAGGTAGAGGCCGCAGTGAGCCATGATTGCTCCACTGAACTCCAGCCTGTGTGACAGAGCAATACCCTGTCTCAAAAAAAAAAAGTGCCTAAGTGCCTCTCAGAGGGAAGGCCCACATGGGAGGTGAGGTTTTTTTTTTTTTTAACCATATAATTCTTACTTCCATTAGAGAAACGTAGAATTAGAGAATTTTAAGCCTGGAAGAGATTTTTAGCCATGAGTACTTTCCAGTCATATCACCCCAGACTTTTGGACCTGATTTTCATTTATTTAGATCTTGAACTTGAAATTGCAGACATTTACAGTGAAGGGACGTTGAGATAATCTGGCTCGACTCTCCTAATTTCACAGATGAGGAAACCAAGGAAGAAACTGAGGCCCAATGATGTCTGAGTGGTTTGTTCAAACCACAGTGTTAGCTGCTTCTCTGATATCATTTCCCCTTTATTGCACTGATTCTCCATATGTACTATGTGTGTACAGGGTTGTTGTTTTTTCCCTAAACTGTCCTCTCTCTATTCTAGATCTGATGACATTCCTCTATGTAATTGTAGAAATCACTGCTCTTGGAGAGCCATTTTTGAAGATGGGAGTGTGTCCTATCACAGCCTCAGTGGTGTTGGGTTGGAAAAGGCTGGGAACCCCTGCCTTCCCAGGGCCACATGCCCCTTTACTACAGGGTTTCACATAACTGAAATCAGCTTTCCCATAGTGCTTTTGAGTGTCTGAGGGCAAAGGGTAGTCTGCCCAGGGGCTTCAAAGTGGTGCAAGTTCCCACCGGGCACCAGTCCGTATTTGAAACCCAACAGGGCGATAGGTGTGCTATGTGAATATTTGACGGCACTGTCATGTTGCCCTCTCTCTATATATATCTTTTTTGAGATAGGGTCTCACTCCATCGCCCAGGCTGGAGTGCAGTGGCATGACCATGGCTCACTGCAGCTTTGACTTCCTGGGCTCCACCTCAGCCTCCCAAATAACTAGGATTACAAGCACACACCACCACACCCAGCAAATTTTTAATTTTAATTTTAATTTTAATTTTGTAGAGATGGAGGTCTCCCTATGTTGCCCAGGCTGGTCTTGAACTCCTGGGCTCAAGTGATCCTCTTGTCTTAGCCTCCCAAAGTTCTGGGATTACAGGCATGAGCCATACCCTCTAAATATTAAAAAAAGCATTTATACCTAAACCTTAGATTTCTATAATCTATCTACCTACCAAGTTTCATAGACTTTTTTAAAGAACGAAGGATATTCTCATTGGAATATGTTCTCTGCTGTCTTGCTTTAAGATGCTGTAATTGAATTTAATGTGAATTGATTCATGTTGATTTCAAGCCAGGCTAAAACCAGACAGATTCTTCCAACATAAGATCAGTAGAAGTGCTAAGCGGTCCCACAGAGAACAGAGACTTAACTTTGGTGGATTAAAAAAAAACAATGACTCTCATAAGCATCATATGTAGAGATCTAACTAGTAATTCTACCAGAAAACCAAGAATATAGAGAAAAATGTTGTATTTCTCAATAGTGTGTTTTTGGACAAATTAAGAATTACCTAGTTATAGAGTTTTATAGAGAGCATATTCTTCAGCTTTATTAAATCTTACCAAAGATTAGGATGTCTTTTAGATTAACTACTGTTTTCCTACCACTATCTTATACATGTCAAGTTTTTTTTTTTTTGACGGAATTTTACTCTTTGTTGCCCAGGCCAGAGTGCAATGGTGCGATCTTGGCTCACTGCAACCTCCGCCTCCCGGGTTTAAGTGATTCTCCTGCCTCAACCTCCCAAGTAGCTGGGATTACAGGAATGCACCAACATGCTCGGCTAATTTTGTATTTTTAGTAGAGATGGGGTTTCTCCATATTGATCAGGCTGGTCTCAAACTCCCGACCTCAGGTGATCCGCACACCTTGGCCTCCCAAAGTGCTGGGATTACAGGCATGAGCCACCACGCCCAGCCAAGTTTTAATTATTTTAAAAGAATACCTTGTTATAGTTTAAACATGAACTTTAAAACTGCAGAGCAGGTATTATACAACCTGGCAGAATTTTTCCTGGGACTCTATTAACTTGTGTTTTCCTCACTTATGATTAGTATAAATATTGAATTATGTGGTTTTAGTAGCATAAATAAATGAAGATGTGTTTCATCATATTTATAGCTGAAATTTTGATTAAGAAAAACCTATTTGCTCCTCTGTATCTTTTTCCCTTACCGCTTATCCATTGAACGCTAGGATTCAACACAGGATTCAAACCATATATATGTTCCATCTTGATGGTAGCCTAACTTTAAACAGAATTGTAGTAGGATGATGTGCCCACATACTCATGTTATCTTACCTTTTATAGCTAATTATTTTATGGACCAGAATAACGTGCGCACGCGTGCACGCGTGCATACACACACACACACACACACACACGCACACACATATTTTGAGATGGGGTTCCCGCTCTGTCACCCAGGGTATAGTGCCTTGGTGCGATCTTGGCTCACTGCAACCTCTGCCTCCCAGGCTCAAGCGATCCGCCTACCTCAGTCTCCTGAGTAGCTGTGACCACAAGCACACACCACCACGCTTGGCTAATTTTTTGTATTTTTGGTAGAGATGGGGTTTCGCCATGTTGCCCAGGCTGGTCTCGAACTCTTGATATCAAGTGATCTGCCCATCTCAGCCTCCCAAAGTGCTGGGATTACAGGCGTGGGCCACCGCACCTGGCCTCAGAATAACCTCAGTTATCATGATGCTTATAATATTTCTAAGCTTATATAAAGTTTGATTATTTTTATACCTTTATGATTATACAATAATAATTTTTGAATACCTACTATGTACCGAGTACTTTACTTGCACACGTTCCAATTCTTCCAACTGCCCTGAGCTGTAGATAATCAAATCTCTCATTTTGCAAGTCAAGAAACTGAGGCTCAAGGAGGTTAGGCAAGTGCTTGTAGCTTGTAAACTGAAAAGCTGAGGTCTGGCTCTAGAGCCCCTAACATACGCTTTCCATACTCTACCACATTGTTGCTAGAAGTTGTGTGATAAAGAAAAAAAAATTACTGAAAAAGTTTTCCTAGCTTTTCTCCTACCCCACAGGCTGTACTTTCTCAGTCATCATTGCCAAGTGTGGTATGTTGGAGGGCCCCAGGGCTCAGCCCCAGATGTTGGGGCTGATACACACAGTATCCTATTCTCTCTACACGTAAGTGCTGGGGACCATATTTCTAGCTTTAGCCTCAGCCTTTTTCCTCAACTCCAGACTCATGTAGCCATTTGCGTACTCTACATCTCCACTCAGTTTTCTGAAGATGTCAAGTTTAACCTATCCAAAACCAAACTCTTAATTCTACCCCAAAACACTCTGACCTTCCTGAGCCCTCCCTATTACAGTAAATGGTATCACTACTCAGCTGGTTGCTCAGGCCCCTTTGGTGTGCTGTGTGACCCATCTGTCTCTCAGACCCTGTATCCAAACCCCCAGCAAATACTTTTGCCACTACCTTCAAAATATATCTGGAATCGGTCCACTTCTCACCACCCCACAGCTGCCAGCCTAGTCCAGGCCATCCTTGTTTCTCGCCCATCCTTCTACAGTAACTACCTACTTTTCTCCCTGCCTAGGTCCTGCCTGTCAGTTGTTTTTCCTCCACCCAACAGCTAGACAATTCTATTAAAAGATAAGTCACAAAAATGAATAAATAAAGATAAGTCACATTATGTCATTCCCCTGCTCTAAACCCTCCAGTGGCTTCCCCTTACACTTAGAACAAAAGCCAAAATCTCATTTATCTAACCCTCAAGACCTTACACGTCCTGACCTTGCCTGCCCTTCCCTGCTCATTCTCCTGCTCCAGTCAGATTAGAGGAGCAGCTTTGTAGCTCCCCAAATCTGCCAAGCATATTGCCATTTGCAGGGGCTTTGCATTTGCTGGACCCTCTGCCAGTTACACACCTGCCGCCTCGTTCACTGGGTTTGCTTCCTCCCTTCATCCACATCTCTGCTCACTAGGCTTTCCCTGACCCACCCTAGGAGAGAACCCTCACCATTCCATCGTACTCCCTTTACTCTGCTTCATTCCTTCTAATAGCACTTATCACTATCTGATGTTCATTTTGATCAGTTTATTATAAACATGTAAGCTCCATGAATACAGGATATTTGTTCATCTCTGTAGCCCCAGTGCTGTGAACAGTGCCAGGCACATAGTATTGAATAAATATTTGCTGAACTAATTAATGAATAATTTCCTAGACATTAGATCTCTTGCTTTCACTCATTCTCTTTTCACTGAATACGTAAATAAACAGTTGGCTCTGTGTGTGTGTGTTTCTTACTGGTTTAAGCCGCTCCTTGCTTATTTAGCCAAAGCTTACATCAGTTTCGTAGCAGTAGAAAATAAGGGAGGCTGGGAGCTACATGATAGACCTTATGAACACAAAGAAGGAAACAGCAGACACTGGGGTCTACTTGAGGGTGGAGGGTGGGAGGAGGGAGATCAGCAGGAAGATAACTGTTGGGTACCTGGGTGATGAAATAATCTGTACAACACACCCCTGTGACATGAGTTTACCTGTGTAACAAACCTTCACATGTACCCCTGAACCCAAAATAAAAGTTAAAAAACTTAACATGATCACGATAGAAAACAGTGTGGAGGTTCCTCAAATGATTCAAAATAGAATGACCATATTCTAGCAATCTCAGTTCTAGGTATATATTCAAAGGAAATAAAATCACTGTTTTGAAGAAAAAAAATAAGGGAGGTAGGGTCCTATTTACCTAACATACACCCTAGTACTCTGATGAAATCAAGATGCGCTAGATGACTTTAAATGCAGAGCATTCGAGTTGGTTTCCCTTGCTTTTCTCTGTAATTGATATGTACTGGGCAAGTCTGGTCAAAAAACAATCACAGAATCTGATACACTGCCTCAGTTTCACCAGTGTAACTGAGAACAAGATTGGGTCTGAGAGGAACAGACCCAAGCAAAGAAGCCTGCACTTTCCCATTTCCACTCTCAGATGCCATCTCGTCTCCATGAGGACTGTCATGTGTGTGCATTTTATTTATTTATTTATTGAGACAGAGTTTCACTCTTGTTGCCCCAGCTGGAGTGCAAAGGCACGATCTCGGCTCACCACAACCTCCGCCTCCTGGGTTCAAGCGATTCTCCTGCCTCAGCTTCCCAAGTAGCTGGGATTACAGGCATGCACTACCACCCCCGGCTAATTTTGTATTTTTAGTAGAGACGGCGTTTCTCCATGTTGGCCAGGCTGGTCTCGAACTCCTGACCTCAGGTGATCCGCTCGCCTCGGCCTCCCAAAGTGCTGGGATTACAGGCTTGAGCCACTGTGCCCGGCCATGGATTCTTTTTATTACACATTCTGCTACATTCTTTTGTATTACAAACCAAGTCATCCGAGTCTCAGGAACCCCACCTGTCCTGCAGTTTGCTATGTATAGCTAAGACCTTCCATTGATCTATTGAGCTGCATCTCTGATTTCTGGCCCCTGGATCACCCTTCACACTTTAAAAAAAATTTTATTTTTATCCTATATATTTAAGGGGTACAGTATGATGTTTTGATGTACAAATTCTGATAGGAGAAAAACATGTATTAACACACAGCAATTAAAATTCTAGCAATTGGCAAGGGTTGGCTGATGTTCTTAGAATCATCTAGTCTAGTGGTTCTCAAACCTGATTGCTTAACAGAACCACCTGGGCTGCCTTTCAGAAATACAGGTTTCAGGTCCTGCTCTAGCTCTGGGATTGGGATAGAGCTCTGGTGTGTCTGGTGTGGTACATACCACACACATTGTCTCTCTCTCTCTCTTTCTCTCAGATCACATATATTTCTTGTGATAGTAAGTGTTGTGAAGCAAACAAAGGGCAGAAAAATAGGAGTAAAGATGATGAGAAGGGCTTTCTGAGAAGGTAGTGTTCAGTCTGTGATGGGAAGTATTAGGGGAAGAACATTTTGGGCAGGAAATAGCATAGTGTGTTCACAGAATTAAAAGCAGACCAGTGTGGCCGAAGCACAGCGAGTGAGTAAGGGAAGAGCTCTGCTTCATGGGAGGAAGGGGCTGAGGCTGCATCACAGAGGCCTTGCAGACACCGAGGAAGAGTCTGAGTTTTGTTTTGAGTGCCATCATTCTTTTAAGAACTATGGAGAATGGATTGTGAGAGAACAGAAGTGGAAGCTGTGAGACCCAAACTGTTCTCTGATGATAAAGGGGACTATACTGGTGGCATCAAAGATGGAGAGAAGGCAGTTTCAGGGTGTATGTTTTAGGGAAGTCAACAGGACTTGCTGACGAATCGGAAGTGGAGTGAGGGAGAGAATGGGAGAAGCAAGAATGATGCTGAGGAGGGTCCATTAGAGGCAGTATAGGGTGTGGTCGAGTGCCCAGCTCCCTTATCTGTAAAATGGGGTACTAAGGTACCTCTCTGGGTTGGTGGCAAGTTGACATTTGTGAAGCACTTAGACAGAGTTTGGCACATGGTAAAACACTGTGTAAATATTAGAAGTGATTTGGATGATGTTTATTCATCCAAGGTCGCACAGCTGGTCAGCAGCAGGTCCAGGACAAGAAGCCAAGGCTTAGTCTCTTGGTTTAGTGCATTTTATGCGACACTGAACTGCCTCCTTCAATTTATGCCTCCTTTGAACTTATTTGTGCAGACTCTTGGTAGAGGGGTTTGGTCCTTATGGTACACGAAGAGTTGCACTTATCATAACACATGAGCATTGCACCAAACATGATAAATTGTTAGGGTTGGTGGGGTGTGGTGGCTGACACCTATAATCCCAGCACTCTGGGAGGCCCAGGTGGGTGGATCACTTGAGGTTGGGAGTTTGAGACCAGCCTGGCCAACATGGTGAAACCCTGTATCTACTAAAAATACAAAATTAGCTGGGCATGGTGGTGGGTGCCTGTAATCCCAGTTACTAGGGAGGCCGAGGCAGGAGAATCGCTTGAACCTGGGAGGCGGAGGTTGTGGTGAGCCAAGATTGCAACACTGCACTCCAGCCTGGGCAACAGAGTGAGACTCCATTCAAAAAATAAAAATAATAAAAAATAAATTCCTAGGGTTTCTTGCATAGGTGGACATTCAGATTATTTTGGCTATCCATAAAATGGTGCCATTCCAGACAAAACACAGGGCCTGGATGGTCAGAGGAAGGAGGTGCTGGAAGAGAGATGTTCTGTGGATAGTTTGAAGTATTAAAAGAAATATCTGCCAGAATGTGTTCATGTTGTTCACACGCTTAGACTGGAGTAGGCACATGGATGACAACAGGAGATGGCATTAAGAGTCCTTAATACTGGAAGTTATAGGTCAGTGCATGCCAGGAGAAGGAAAGAAATGCAGCTAAGAATGCTAGTGTAACTCCCCCAGGTTGTCAGTTTTCTAATGATATATCTTAAAGAAGTGTTTGAAGTGCTTCTGTCAGTTTCAACTAAGCTAATTTTAAAAAATTGTTCTTTGTACTGTGCCTGTCTCATGAACCTCTTCGAGTTTAATGCATGCAATATGTGGGTGAAAATCCTATCAGCCTCAGTCCCCATCCCCCAAAGTCTGAGAAGCAGATTTTAGAAACACATTGTTGCACCTGTGAGGATTTGTCATTTTATTAAATTGGACCTGAGACCATTTTCAATGTGCCTCATCAAAAGAATTTCAGAAAGAGGTGAGAGAAAATGCCAGCCCGGCCCTTCCTCCCTCATGTTGACTGTCTGTTTTGTTCCACCTCTATCTCAAACAGCATGGGGAGGACTGTTCTTCATTACCAGGGAATGTGAGTCATTCCCAGATTTGTGTGATTGGGATTCCAAAGCATTGCTGTATCCGATGATCTTATTAAATCCAAGTGTCAGTGCAGCCTTTCAGACTGTAGGGAAGAGCTCAGTTACAGCTGGTGACCTGGTTCCAGTTACCACACAGAGCCACTGGCGAGAGCAGTGACCCCCTCAGAGTATCCAGAATTCCACATGGATGGCTGTTACCAACTGTTCCCAGATTTAGGGGTTTCCTGGTTCACTTCATGGGCTTCAGTACACTTCAGCTCCCTGTTTATTTCCTAGTTGGGATCTGTATACTTTAGGGGAAAATGTTCTAGTGTCTGTAGACAAGCTAGTGCCAAGATTAGCCTAGCTTTTTGAGGGTACCTTGTTTCAGATTTATTCAGCCCCAGAAGTGTTAACTGCACTGTGTCCAGGATCTAGCAAGACACTATCCATTTCCAGCTTGGTCCAAACAAAACAAAACATCAACCAAAGAGGGAGGAAACCATGAATGTTGCCAGAAAATTAGTTTGCTCTGTCTTTTTTTTCTTCTAGAGTGTTTCACAGCCAATGGTGCGGATTATAGGGGAACACAGAACTGGACAGCACTACAAGGCGGGAAGCCATGTCTGTTTTGGAACGAGACTTTCCAGCATCCATACAACACTCTGAAATACCCCAACGGGGAGGGGGGCCTGGGTGAGCACAACTATTGCAGGTAAGATGGGGCCACTCAGTACTTTAAAAAGATAGATATATATCTAGTCTCTTCTTCCAACCCCTTTCATCCCAGCTCACAACTAGGGGAAGTCTTTTGACCAACTCAAGAGACTTATCTTGTCAGTTTTAAAAATATTTCTTTCACACCTTACACACACACACACACACACACACACACACACACACACACACAATTTACCACTCTTTTTTTTTTTTTTTGAGACGGCGTCTCGCTCTGTCGCCCAGGCTGGAGTGCAGTGGCGCGATCTCGGCTCACTGCAAGCTCCGCCTCCCGGGTTCACGCCATTCTCCTGCCTCAGCCTCCCGAGTAGCTGGGACTACAGGCGCCCGCCAACACGCCCGGCTAATTTTTCGTGTTTTTAGTAGAGACAGGGTTTCAACCGTGTTAGCCAGGATGGTCTCGATCTCCTGACCTTGTGATCCGCCCGCCTCAGCCTCCCAAAGTGCTGGGGTTACAGGCGTGAGCCACCGCGCCCGGCCAATTTACCACTCTTTTCAACATGGGTTGTTTTAATGCTGGCTTTGAAAGCTCTGCTTTTCTGTCTGATCACTTCCTTGTCTCTTTGGGAGGGTTTTCTTAGTTAGCCCTACCACCAGTGGACAATACACAGTTAGCAGAGCAGCCTACACTACCGAGAATGTCGTGGTCAGACAGCACCATGTGTGACCCAAATCTCCCTCTGCTTCTGAGCAAAGGAAGCTGCCTACATTGTTGTGCCTCCGGCCAGCCCAGGATAACCTTGCTCTGGGAACAGCTGTATCCATCAGATGTGTGCCATTTACTTCCTTTTAGTCGACTAAGGTGTTTCTTTGCTTTTCACCTCCCGTCTGACTCTAGCAGGGGATCTTAACCTGACATCTATGGTGCTTCAAAAGTGATTCACAATTTCCTGGGGATGATCCATAGCTTTGATCAGCTTCTCAAAGTTATCTGTGATTGAAAACAAGTTCAGGATCACTGGTATGTAGGGTCCAGAACAAAGACTGTAAGCACTTTTGGTTATACATTTGTGCTGCTTATGCCCAAGATCCTGGTAATGAGACTTATGGTTCAGCAATGCATTGAATTTAATTATTATTAGTACAGGTGCAAAGGCAGCCTCTTGAGCTACTGGGACAGGGAAAAATGATTGTTGAACTATATACCCTGTCCCTGGTTCTACATACATTGGAATCTCAACCATGGCACTGTTGACGCAGCTGAGCCAACATATATTTTCCTGTATTGTATGGGCCACACTGTTTACCTTCTGCCCTCTACATACCTTTGCTAACGCTCTAGGGCCCTTGTAGTTGTCTCAAAGTCACCAGGCCTTTAGTCTATGTTTTCTTTATCCCTATACCTTTCTCTATCTTGTATCAACTGACCATTCCCTCCTAGTTGCTATTGACTTATTTTGTTTGTTATAAAAGTGTTAAAAGCTTATTCTTAAAAAAAAAAACTTCTCCAACACCACAAATATATGTGGTTTAAATAGTTAAAATTCCCCATTTTACCTATTTTCCCTGAAACCCTCCCCACCAAGTCCCAAGTCCCAGAGACAACCAATTTGGGTATTTGCCACTTCACATTTTGCTATCTGTTGTATTTTATTGTTCAAGTTACACATGCTTATTAAATAGTTCTTTTATATTTTATTTTCCAAGTTATACATGTTAATTTATTTTTTGCATAAATTAAAAAATTAGTCCCACCCCATTTTTTATTACCTTCCCCTAGGTTTTCTATTCATAGGAATAGTTGGTTGGGTTGGGAAGAGTGTTTAGGAAGAGAGACAAGTATTTGGTTTTTGTTTTTCCATAGTTGCTTATCTTCTTGTTCCAAAATATCTCTTGGTAGTAGGCTGTTGGTTTATTCTATTGCTCTGTTGCTTCCTATCAAGCAAGTCTTCTCAGAAGAGCTCATGTTTTTAAGTCTGACTTTAAGGTAAATTTTAAGTTTCCAGTGAGGCCTAATTTATGTGAAAAATTTTTCTTTCTTGTGGATTAGCACCCACTTCTACTCACAGGCTTCTAGAAATGTACCCATAAACATCCATTAAGAGAGCAGTGAGAGCCAGGAGGGACCACCTTTCTCCTTAGCCCTGATCAGCCATCACATCAAACCCTCTCGTTTGATTTGATGGAATGCAGGAGACCTGAACTATTTAATACCAGTTTATACTTTGGAAAAGGGAGGCTGAAATTGTTGATTATCACATCAAAGAGCCCAGGCCTTTTGTTTTAGCACTGCAGCAAAGTCAAGGATGAATTTGCTTGTTCTTTATTAAGCTATTCTGATGCTTTTCAATATGGTTTTGACATTGATAATAAACAGTTTTCTAAGGGCTTTACCAAATAAATACATCAAAGCTGAACACCGAATAGAGGGAGGAAAATGACAATGAAATACTGTTTAAAGAAGGGCTTTGTACAAGTTCTCCTACTTTGATTTCTCAACTGACACCCGACACCATGTTTGTCTTGTGTGACTTTTTCAGACCCATCACATTAGAGATGTCTGAGAGTTGGTGAGTGATGGGAATGCACTTTTCTGGGCTCAAAGTAACTGGCTTAGAAGGGAAGGCAGAGACTGGGGAAGAGCAGAGTTGGTGCTGGCACCTGCCTTTGGGCACAAGAAACAAAAGGACGCTTTGTACTTTGGGAAAGCTTATCTTCTACGCCACATGACAGGCTTAGCCCACTCTGGCCTGATAGGGGTTGCTCCCAGCTCCTGCTGCAGGATCTTTATGCCCATTTCCGGCCTAACCGGAGTGTCAGCTTTCCAGTGTTCTGAGTCTAAATAAAAGGGGCTTGGAAAGCGGTGAAGAGAGGCGAGCCTTTTCTGTGTGTCCAGTAGCCCCTGCCATTTTATTTATCTGCTTCAGTAGTGTTGCTTGTTATTGTTATGCCACCTATGAGTTGAAAAGACCTTAAAGCATGTATTTATTCCAGGCCATTCTCATTTAGAAATGTGAAATAGAGCTTTAAAAAATATTATCTCCATATCAGAAGTTGATACCTCATGACAGGATCACAAGTTCTAGCTGAGACTCTGACGCAGTTTTCTTCAGTATTCTCTGAGGAGTCAGCATTTTGAGGAAGGAATAGCACCCATTTCTAGCAAATGTGAGCCTCGTCCTGGTGAAAGTTTGTCAGTGGAGTCTGTATTTTATTTTTATTTTATTTTTTTATTTTTGAGACGGAGTTTCGCTCTTGTTACGCCTGGCCCAGTGGAGTCTTTATTAAGTGAATTTTGTTTTACTGTTTAAAAATTACACCATTGGAGTATTCACTATAGAGGAAATAAAATAAAACCAGAAAAGAAAAAAAGCTGAAATCACCAGTAGTTCCAGTGTCTAGAGATACTTTATAAGAGTTTGGTGTACATTCTTTCCTAAATAAGTCTTTTCAAAACATGGAATTATGTCATCTATTGGGTTTTATAACTGCCTCTTTAAAAAAAAAATCTAATAAGGCTGGGCACGGTGGCTCACGCCTGTAGTCTCAGCACTTTGCGGGGCCGAGATGGGCAGATCACTTGAGGTCAGGAGTTGGAGACCAGACTGGCCAATATGGTGAAACCCCACCTCTACTAAAAACAAAAATTAGTCAGGCATGGCGGCGGGCACTTGTAGTCCCAGCTACTCGGGAGGCTTGAGGCAGGAGAATCGCTTGAGCCTGGGAGTCGGAGGTTGCAGTGAGCCGAGATCATGCCACTGCACTCCAGCTCAGCCTGGGTGACAGATTGAGAGTTTGTCTCAAAAAAAAAAAAGCCTCATAAGACATTGTGAATATATTTGCAAATTAATAAGACTGGTCTCTATACCACATATTCCCTTCTATGGATATACAATTTATTTAACCAAACCTTTATTGTTGGATATTTGCTGTTTCCACCTGTTTTTTATATTATAAAAATGTTTTGTTGAACATCTTTATAGGTAAGATTTCCTTAGAATAAATTCCTAAAGAGGAAATTGCCAAGTGGAGGGTTTGCATATTTCTAGGGCCTTTGGCTCTAATTCCCAAATTGCCGCTCTGACCATTTGTGTCAGTTTGCATATTCATCAGCGGCATTGAGAGCCCCTGTGCTTACTCAGCCTTGGAATCTCCATGCTCACATTCAAGGTGCCAGTGCTATTTGGCATGATGTGTGCAGTGGCCATTTGTCCTAGTTATGCTATAGTGAATTTGCCCAAACATATATTACCTTTACTCACTTCCCCCCAAACTCTGAAGTATATGTCAGAATAGATATGTTTGTTCTTGTAATATTACCATTTTTTCCCTTTTGATGAGAGATGGCACTGAGATACAGACCAACTATTAGAAATAATACAGAAGCTAAAGCATTTCCTTTTCTGTAAAACTGAAAAGCAATGAACCAGTTGAATTAAAACATCAGAAGTCATCAATTGTGTCCTTTTCCCCAACAGAAATCCAGATGGAGACGTGAGCCCCTGGTGCTATGTGGCAGAGCACGAGGATGGTGTCTACTGGAAGTACTGTGAGATACCTGCTTGCCAGAGTAAGACTGTAATACCCAATGTGATGGTTTACAGGACTGTGAACACTAAGAGTGCGTAGAGGGAGGCCCCTGCCAGAGGTCAGGTAGTTAGGCTGGTGGATTTCATGGAGCATGTGAAAGGAGAAGCCATCCTGGGCGAGGATTTTCACTTCTCTTGTTGAGGCTTTTCAGGAATAGGAATGCTGATTTCCTTAGCACCTCATTCTAAAGGTATTCCCTTGATGGGTAAGCCCCATGAGAATTCCTACTTTTGGTTAATTTCTGATTCTTTCAGGTATAGAGAGGGCAACCGCTCAGAAGCAGCCTAGGGGAGAAAAATATCTTGTACTTTTTGGAATGAACATCTTTATACATAGTGAAACTCAGTTATGGCACTACTTATTACTTGGATTTGAATGGGTCCCCAGAAGTAATATTTGATAAATGCCTTGCTAAATACCATACAAAGCTCATGTGGTAGTTCTTTTACCCACATTAGCCTAACATGTTCTACTGTTTATAATAATAACTCACAACCCAATTTCTTCAGCCTTTTACTAAAATGCCTGTTTTCTAACTGTTTCATTCATTTATTCCCGTATTCACTTTTTTTCCTTTTTTTTTTTTTTTTTTTTTTGTGACAGAGTCTGGCTCTGTCACCAGGCTGGAGTGCAGTGGCGTGATCTCAGTTCACTGCAACCTCCACCTCCCAGGTTCAAGTGATTCTCCTGCCTCAGCTTTCGCAGTAGCTGGGACTGCAGGCGTGCACCACCACGCCCAGCTAATTTTTGTGTTTTAGTAGAAATGGGGCTTCACCATGTTGGCCAGGATGGTCTCGATCTCTTGACCTCGTGATCCGCCCGCCTAGGCCTCCCAAAGTGTTGGGATTACAGGCGTGAGCCACCACACCCGGCACCTGTATTCACTGTTTATTATATGCAAACTACAAAGACAATAGGATACCCTGACCCTCAGGAGTGTATGGTATAGGATGAATCTTAAAAAGATACAGTCATGCACCACACAAAACAGACCACATATACAATGGTGGTCCCATATGGAGTATCTCAACTGATTGTTCAGTCAGTTACAGATCACACTTCTTTTTCTACTCTTCTTTCTTCCTTCTTTCTTCCCTTCTCACTACTACACTTGACTAGTCTTTTTTTTTTTTTTTGAGACAGAGTCTCACTCTGTCTCCCAGGCTGGAGTGCAGTGGTGCCATCTCAACTCACTGCAACGGCGCCATCTCGGCTCACTGCAACCTCCGCCTCCTGGATTCAAGTGATTCTCCTGCCTCAGCCTCCCGAGTAGCTGGGATTACAGGCATGTGCCACCACGCCCGGCTAATTTTGTATTTTTAGTAGAGACGGGGTTTCTCCATGTGGTCAGGCTGGTCTTGAACTCCTGACCTCAGGTGATCCGCCCGCCTTGGCCTCCCAAAGTGCTGGGATTACAGGCGTGGACTAGTCTTTATATATGTATATAAAGATTATAATGGAGCTGAAAAATTTCTGTTGCCTACTGATGTTGTAGCTGTCATGATGCTGTAGTGCAACACATTACTCATGTGTTTGTGGTGATGCTGGTATAAATAAACACACTGCACTTCCAGTCACACAGAAGTATAACATATACAATTATGTACAGTACATAATACTTGATAATGATAGTAAACAACTATGTTACTGGTTTATGTATTTACTATACTATACTTTTTACTGTTATTTTAGACTATATTCCTTCTACTTATTAAAAAAGCAGTTAACAGTGAAACAGCCTCAGGCAGCTCCTTCATGAGGTATTCTAGAAGAAGGCATTGTTTTCACAGATGACAGCTCCATGTGGGTTATTGTCTCCTTCCAGTGGGACAAAATGTGGAGGTGGAAGACAGTGATATTGATGATCCTGACCTTGTGTGGCCTAGGTTATTGTGTGTGTTTGTGTCTTAGTTTTTTTAAAAAAGTTTAAAAAGTAAATGAAAGTAAAACATTTAAAAAATATAATAGAAAAAACCTTATAGAAGAAAGATATAAAGGCTGGGCACGTTGGCTCACGCCTGTAATCCCAGGACTTTGGGAGGCTGAAGCGGGCAGATCACTTGAGGCCAGGAGTTCCAGGCCAGCTTGGCCAACATGGCAAAACCCCATCTCTACTAAAAATACAAAAATTAGCCAGGTTTGGTGGCATGCACCTGTAATCCCAGGTACTTGGGAGGCTGAACAGCAAGAATCACTTGAACCTGGGAGGCAGAGATTGCACTGAGCTGAGATCATGCCACTGCACTCCAATCTGGGAAACACAACAAGAGTCTGTCTCCAAAAAAAAAAAAAAAAAAAAAAAGGATGTAAGGGAAGAACATATTTTTGTACAGCTATACAATGTGTTTGTGTTGTAAGCTAAGTGTTATTATGAAATAGTCAAAAAGCTAAAGTAATTAAAAAGTTTATAAAGTAAAAAAGTTATAGTAAGCTAAGGTTAATTTATTATTCAAGAAAAATTATTTTTAATGAATTTAGTGTAGCCTAAATGTTCAGTGTTTATAAAGTCTACAGTAATGTATGGTAATGTCCTAGGCCTTCACATTCACTCACCACTCACTCACTGACTCACCCAGAGCAACTTGCAGTCCTGTAAGCTTCATTCGTGGCAAGTGCCATGAAATAGGTAAACCAATTTTTATCTTGTATACAGTATTTGTACTGTACCTTTTCTATGTTTAGATATGTTTAGATACAGAAGTACTTACCATTATGTTACAGTTGCCTACAGTATTCAGTACAGTAACATGCTGCTCAGGTTTGTAGCCTAGGAGTGACAGGCTATCCCATTATAGACTAGGTGTGTAGTAGACTATCACATCTCAGTTTGTGCAAGTGCACTCTATGATGGTCACACAACAACAAAATTATATGACAATGCAGTTCTCAGAGCGAAACCTTGCCTAAGAGATACATGACTATACTTTTAAACAAGGTAAAGAAAATACTGTGTGTAGAAAGGTCTTGCAGAAGGTTTGAACCACAGAAACTAAAGCAAGATCTGCTTCTATAAGGAGTCTATTAATGTAGTATATATAATGTATTTTAAAATATGCCAGAAGAGCTCAGTGCCTAGAGCTGAGGAAAAAGACAGTGAATTCGTAACATCCTATCTGGGTTATTTTTTTCTTATTATTTAAACCTGCTCTTTGCATTGCCCTCTTTCTCACCTCTCAGGTCAGGAGTCTTGTGTATGGGATCTGGCAACCCTTTCACTGATACCTGGAATAGCATCTGAATGCTGAGGCCTCCAGGGGGAAAGGCAGCCCCTGACCAGTGCTGCAGACCTAGTACTCACCTTTTGCTTAGCTTCACTATCCTTCCAACCTGAGTGTGCCTTCATCCAGTCCCCAAACTTAGAAAACAGTAAAGACCAGAAGAATGGGCTTTTGCTCAGTCTGCTTAATCAAATTTTTAAAATGAAAAACATCTCATTTGCCTCTAGTTATGTAAAGAAGAAAGAAGCAGAGGGAGAGGAAAGCAGATTTTCCTCGGTCCATTTGTTCAACACAAAGATAGTCTTTTAGTACCAGCCTGTGTCATTCTCTTGGGAGTGGTAAAGAGGGGGTTTCAATCTGGGCACTTTTATTTGGAAAGATAATCTTTGACTTGCATTTCTAAAATACAGTCTGGGCCAATAGGGACTGATTCATGTGGTCATTGAAACCAGGTTCCAGAAGAAAGAATTATAACAAAATGCTATAAACCGCTTAGTATGCCTCTAATTTGTAATATTTACCGGATATGCTTTCCTGTTCCAAAAAAGGAAAATTAAATATTATTTCAGTTTTTCTGTGGCCCCTTGATAACCCTCTAAAATCTCTAAAGCTAGCCTTGAGATGGTCTGGGCAGAGAGATTTGTAGAAGTTGGGAATGAGAGCTCTATAGTACCTGGTTTCTGGGGATAGAGGGTGGGTGGTGTCTGGCTTTGGTTCTTTGGAAAACCCTTCAGTTTACCCTGTGGGGACCAGGGCTCCCCATCAAGCCGGACCTCAGACATTGAGTCTGGCAGCATATTGTACTTCTAGTGTGTCTGATTAACATAGTTGAGCAAAACCTGTTTTACAGTTTGTAGCAAGAGATGTTTGTAATTGCCTGGTGGATTTAACAGAGATACAGCCATCCTATTTTAGGCCACTTTTGCCCTATTTCTGGATGTGGAGTCACAATTTTCATGAATAATACTAAACCTCTGCATGAAGCCTGCTATTCATGATTAGTATTGAACTTGTCATACAGAAAAAGTCCTGTGACATGATCAGATTCCTGGAAAGTTCATATCTGAATATAACAGACCCAGCAGGAGCCAGGGGGAATGAATGTTTAGGGACAAAGCAGAATCTGGCTGAATGGTGGGCCATTGTGTGGAAACCAGATCTCTGCCCCTTGGTGTGTTATGTGTAGAGCTACAACAAGCAGGAGGCAGACCTGAAGTACAACTCAAATGGGAGCAGAGGGAAATCTGAACTGCTCTTGACCTGCAGAGCATGGATCAGAACTTACTGTTAAAAGAACAACTCGGAGGTAATTGGATTTGCCCCTGAAACTGCTTTTGCCAGAATGTTTCTCAGAAACCCTAAGTTCTTATTGCAGCCAGGAGAAATGCAGACTTCAAAAGCAAATTCCAACGTCTTCGGGTTTAACATGTCTCTAGATCCCACGCTTTAGATCTCTAAGGCCTGTTGGTTTGACTATTGAGAGCTATTTTTTGTTTGCTGAAAAACATTCCCCCAATTTCTACAAACCCAGCTATAAAAATTCATCTTTGAAATAGGGACATTTGAATACAGACTGAGTATTAGATTATATTAAGGAATTACTGTCAATTTTATTAGCTACAATAATGGCGTGGTGGTGAAGTCCTTTAAAATTACAGATACTGAAATATTTGTGGTTGAAATGACATAATATTTGGGATTTGTTTTAAAACAATCCAGCCCCCCAAACAGTGACTAGGTAGGGGTAAGGGAAATAGATGAAACAAGAATGGTTTAAAAAAAAGTGGATTATTTGTTGATGCTGGGTGATGGGTTCATTATTCTTTCCCACTTTTGTGTATGTTTGCAACTTTGAATAATAAAAATTTAAAATTATTTTTATAATATTTTAAATATAAAGAGTAAATAAACACAGCATTCTGAGTATCTAGATTCAAATATGTAACATGATTAACCTAAATTGTAATTTTTTTTTTTTTTTTTTGAGACAGAGTCTTGCCCTGTCACACATGTTGGAGTGCAGTGGCGAAATTTTGGCTCATTGCAGCCTCTACCTCTAGGCTCAAACAGTCTTCCCACCTCAGCCTCCTGAGTAGCTGGGCCTACAGGCACATGCCATCACACCTGGATGATTTTTGTATTTTTTGTAGAGACAGGGTTTTGCCATGTTCCCCTAGCCGGTCTCATACTCCTGGGCTCAGCAATCCTCCTGCCTTGGCCTCCCAAATTGCTGGGATTGCAGGCATAAGCCACCACACCCAGCCAATTGTAATAATTTTACACATAGCCCACAGGTATCTGATGTCATTGTTAAAGTTAGTTATTAAAGTTTTAGTTATTAAACTTGCTAAAACTATTAGTTATTTAAAGTTATTAGAACTATTAGTTATTGAGGTTAAAGTTAGTAAATAAAGTTTAAAATCACAAGAACTTGGCTGGGCGCAGTGGCTCACGCCTGTAATCCCAGCACTTTGGGAGGCCAAGGTGGGCGGATCACCTGAGGTCAGGAGTTCAAGACCAGCCTGGCCAACATCTCTACTAAAAATACAAAAATAAACTGGGCGTGGTGGTGCACATCTGTAGTCCCACCTATTCGGGAGGCTGAGGTAGGAGAATCACTTGAACCTGGGAAGCAGCGGTTGCAGTGAGCTGAGATGGCGCCATTGCACTGCAGCCTGGGCGACAGAGCAAGACTCCATTTCAAAAAAATAAATAAAATAAAATCACAATAACTTAGACATATTTAGAAGTTATTAGTTGTGTCAAATGACATTTCTTAAGCTCTGACCATCTGTCAGACCTTGTACAAAACGGGGGACACAAGGATAGTATGTTCTGCAGCCTGTGGGGAATCCTCAGTCTGGGACAGAAGACAGACAAATGAACAGATAAGCATATGCGAGATACTCTATAATAAGTGAGGTGAGCAAAAGGTTCGGAGCACCCAGGAGGGCCATCTGTCTGGCATGGTAGGGAGGCAGGGGCTACTGTCTGTTGAAGAGGGCTTCTGGAAAGAGTGGGGTCTTGTTTAGGGCTTCTCTACTTTAAAGTACATCCAGTCACCTGGGATCTTATTAAAATACAGATTCTTATCAGTATGTCTAGAACAGACCCGTTACATTTTTAACAAGGTTCTGGGATGCCAGAGCTGCAGGACTACACTTTAAGTAGCAAGGTTCTAGATGTTAGGGCTGGGTGGGTTGGGGTAGTAAGGGCATTGGAGGCAAAGGGAACAGTTTGTGCCCCTGCATGTGCATGAGCGTGCGTGTGCGCACACACACACACATACACACACACACACACACACACACACACACACACTCTGATGAATTCCAAGCAAGTTGGTGTTGCTGAAACATAAATTTTAAGAAGAAAGGGGCAGGAGATGAGGTCTGAGAAGTACACAGGGCTAGATGATGTCAGGTCTTATGGTCTGGGTATGAAGCCTGGACCTGATCCAGGAAGATGATGATGAAGCTGAGGTGAGGGCTGAGTGTCTGAGGGAGGCATTTCTCCATAGTTCGTTGAGCCTCTGTATTAGGGATTTGGGTCAAGATTTCCCACTTTTAACCTATGAGAAGTTCTCTAGTGATTGTATCATTCACACACATCAGCCCTAAGAGGATGCCAGCAGTTGCACTTCTGCAATACGTGTGGAACCTTAGGTCCATCTCAGCTGGTGACCTCACCAGCTCAGGTTTCTTTTAACTAAATAATACCTGGACTTGTTAAAAATAGATTTAAAATAGATTTCAGATGTTAGTATTTGCCTTACAAAAGTCAGCCCAAAAAATAGGATGTGAAAGGTTCCCATTATCCCTGATAAGGGTTTTTAAAACTGTGTTTAGAGTATGTGTAAAAAGCCAAGGGCACTGTGGCAGTGGTGGTCAAGGCAGTTTCTCAATTATAGAAAATGTTTTGTTTCTGTCAGCACTTTCTGTGTTTTAATGTCAGCACTGCTTTCTAGTATGTTTCAGCTATTGCTGAGTACCTACTATGTACAAAAAGCACTTATATTCACATTATCTTTTTTTTTTTTTTCTTTTTGAGACAGAGTCTCACTCTGTCACCCAGGCTGGAGTGCAGTGGTGTGATCTTGGCTGACTGCAAGCTCCGCCTCCCGGGTTCACGCCATTCTCCTGCCTCAGCCTTCTGAGTAGCTGGGACTCCAGGCGCCCGCCATCACGCCCAGCTAATTTTTTTTTTTTTTTGTATTTTTAATAGAGACGGGGTTTCACCTTGTTAGCCAGGATGGTCTCAATCTCCTGACCTCGTGATCCGCCCGCCTCGGCCTCCCAACACATTATCTTATTTAACGTTTTCAACAATCCTATGAAGCAGGTGGCATGTCTACTCTCCCGCCTCCATTTCTCAGATAAGAAAATTGAGCCCAGATAGTTAAGTGATTTGATGAGGATTACAGTCTGAGTCAAACAGGATTTTTGACCAGGACTCCTGATAGCTAGACCAGTGCCTTTTCCTTCTAGCACTTGAGAACAGTCCCATTTCCTTTATTTCCTTGAAAACAGGGGCTCTGGGATGGATTCCGGCTACTGTTGAGGTCATTCTTCAGAATTTTCTTTGTGAATTGTTTGGGAATTAAAGTTTGAAATTCTGATAGTATGGTGAATTATTAAGATTGCTTTTGTGACATTGTGGAAACCAAAGGGTTAACTCAGTGGCGACAGAGGGTCTGCAGTTCATGCTGTTAGCTCTAAGTCATTTTATTTTCTTCTTTGGCTTTGGGAAATCCTAAGCCCCAGGAGTAAAGCAGGCTGAGATGGGATCTGGGAAGCATTTGCTGCCCAACAGAGCCACTCTGCAGTATGCTGGGCTATCTCTGTGGGTGTCCCCAGACCAGCTGTTCTCAGCGAGGAAAGGGCTCCCCTGGGGTTGGACCCACTGCACAAAACAGTTCGTCAGCAGCTTTGTCTGGGCCTTAGGTTCTCCCCCAATACCATGTCTTCACTGCTGTGGGCTGAAATTCACCTTCTCTGAAATGACACATCCCCGTGTACCATTTATACTTTTTTTTTTTTTTTTTTTTTTGAGACAGAGTTTTGCTCTTGTTGCCCAGGCTGGAGTGCAGTGGTGTGATCTCAGCTCACTGCAACCTCTGCCTTCTGGTTTCAAGAGATTCTCCTGCCTCAGCCTCCCAAGTAGCTGGATTACAGGTGCCCACAACCGTGCCCAGCTAATTTTTGTATTTTTAGTAGAGACGGGGTTCACCATGTTGGCCAGGCTGGTCTCAAACTCCTGACCTTGTGATTCGCCTGCCTCGGCTTCCCAAAGTGCTGGGATTACAGGCATGAGCCACCACACTTGGCTGTGTACCATTTATACTTTACAGCTAAAGTGAAAATTCCAACTTTTGTTGATAGCCAAAGCAATATTGAAATGAACATTAATAGGCCAGGTGAGGTGGCTCATGCTTATAATCCCAGCACTTTGGGAGACCAAGGTGGGAGGATCGCTAGAGCCAAGGAGTTCAAGACTAGCCTGGGCAACATAGGGAGACCCTGTCTTTACAGAAAACTTAAAAATTCACCAGGTATGGTAGCATGTGCCTATGGTCCCAGCTACTCAGGAGGATTGCTTGAGCTCAGGAGGTTGAGGCTGAGCTCGCATCACAGGCACCCTTGTTTTACTTGATTGTACTTTTATTTGTGGAAGAGTGCTGATGGAATTTATGGAGGCTTTACCTCTTTAAGCCTCTCCTTGGTAGCCACTGAAAAAAGCCATATATTTCAACAATCTTCCCCACACCTAGCACAGTGGAGAGTGTAAAAGTGCTTGCTAAGTATTCTTTCTTGGCTGGGTGTGGTGGCTCATGCCTGTAATCCCAACACTTTGGGAGGCCAAGATGGGCAGATCGCTTGAGCCCACGAGTTCAACGCCAGCCTGGGCAATGTGGTGAAACCCTGTCTCTACCAAAAATACAAAAATTAGCCAGGTGTGATGGGCATGTAGCCTGTAGTCCAGCTACTTGGGAGGCTAAGGCAGGAGAATCGCTTGAACCCAGGAGGCGGAGGTTGCGGTAAGCCTAGATTGCGCCATTGCACTTTAGTCTGGGCGATGAGAGTGAAACCCTGTCTCAAAAGACAAAATTCTTTCTTGATGCCATGAAGTCTTATCTCTTCCTCTCTTCCCATAAGAGACAACACAAGCTGGTGGAAAGATGGAAAGAATGTGGACATCTGAGTCACACCCAGTTAGGTTTGAATCATTATCTGCTTAATAGCTTTAGGCACAATGACTCTCAGTTGTGCCTGGGTTTCCTCATTGGTGCCTTCCAGAGTTTTTTTTGAAGATTAAATGAATAAAATGCATGCTGCCCTAAGTCCTAGCACATATCAGGTAGACATGAAAGTACCAACAGGTATTGTGATGGTATGCTCTCCCCAGGGAATGGACTACCGTTAGTATGTCCCTGTCATCTAATTCCTAGAATATGTTATTCATAACCTGCATTTTATTTCTGCCCATCTCTTTTTTATCTAACTGACCATGGGTCTTAGGAGCAGGCATCAGCTGCTGCAGTGGCTGCTCCCTGTGGCCTGTTGCAGCACTGAACTCGGTGAACACAAGAGGCCCCACGTTTGTTTGTTGTTTGTTTGTGACAGGGTCTTGCTCTGTTGCCCAGGCTGGAGTGCAGTGGCACGATCATGGATCACTGCAGCCTTGACCTCCCAGACTCAAGTGATCCTCCCACCTCAGTGTCCCAAGTAGCTGGGACAACAGGCGCACACTACTATGCCTGGCAAATATTTTTACTTTTTGTAGAGATGGAGTCTTGCTATGTTGCCCAGGCTGGTCTCAAACTCCTGGGCTCAAGCAATCCTCCCACCTCGGCCTCCCAAAGTACTAGGATTCCAGGTGTGAGCCACTCTGCCTGGCTCCCATGTTTGTTCCTACAATGAGGTTTTATGTACTCAATTATTTTTTGGTTTTTGCCAGTGGGTATTATTTAATTTTCCATTAAAAAAATACAGACTTTCTGAACCAAATGGATATCAGTTCAGTCACAGATACAAATGTTCTAAAGCACAGTTGTGTAAAGCACACTAGGGACTTAAAAAGGAAAACTCATTCAAATTGATAGGGATGACTTTACTGAAAATCTTTATACCAGCACTTGCCTATAAGGAAGAAATAGCCCCTCAATCTTATGATGTAATTGGGAATCTGAGTTATAAACCTAAGAGAAAATTGCAGACCAGCACACCAATCATATAAATAAGTGTTGAATTATGAGGTAGAGTGTTGTGAGTTTCTGAAGACAAGAGGACTCAGTAAAGATTGTGGAAATTGGAAGAAAGGTGGCTGGTGGCTGAATGGGTCAGGGAACAGCAGGACAGAGGCTTGGAGGAAGCACAGAATTGATGAGTGTGTGGGTTGGGATCCAGGCTTCCTGAGTAGAGGAGTGGACAAAAAGGAACCAGGTCAGACCTGGAAAGCAAGAGTTAATTAGATGGGACTGATATGCTGAAAGCCCTAGTTTAGGAAGAGAAGCAAGTCCAGTGTCATTTACAGGACGGATCAAAGGAAGAAAGTTTGGGGAAGAGAGGATGCGTGTAGATTTCTAAACTCAAGGGATAAGGGCCTGGGCTATCATGGCAGCAGTGAGACAAGACAGGAAGGATTAAGTCCAAGATGCACTTAGGAAGAAGACAGAACTTGTTGACAAGTGGAATATGTAAGGGATAAAACAGCAGGAAGAGGTTCCTTGCCTGGGATATTTGTGGTGTCCCTGAAAAAAAAAGTCCAAGTCAACAAACGAGCTTTTCTTCCCAGGGACACAGCAGTTATCATTCCTCTTGAACTTGGACTGACCTTTTACCAAGTAATGTGTACTAGTTGTTTATTGCTGTGTAATGAGCCATCCCCAGCCGCAGTGACTTAAGCGCCAACAGTTTATCATTTCTCCCAGTTCTCTGGGTCGACTGAGTTTCAGCTGAGTGGTTCTTCTGCTGCTGTCACCTGGGCTTAGTGAGGTGCCTGCATTCAACTGGGAGCTCTGCTGGCATTCAAGGTGGCTTCAGACCTCTATCCAGTGACTTCTCTCAACAGCAGGGTATTCAGACTTCTTATACGGTGGCTGGCTTCCAAGAGAGAAGCAGCAGAAGCTGCCATTCCTCTTAAGGCATGAACTCAGAAGAAGTCCACCACATTCTATGGATCAAAGCAAGTGGCAAGGCCCGATTTAAGAAGTGGGGAAATCTATTAAAGTGGGAGCAACACACATGTACAGGGAGGGGAGAAATTACTAGAGCCTCTTTTGACTCTTTATCACATTAACTCACCAGAAACTAAGTTTCAGAGAAGGAACTCCCACCAGGAGGGAACTACTGCTGTGATAGATCCTGGCCTTATGGGATCAGGATTTTTAGGAACTCTTACTACCTCCCCCTAAGGGCAGAATTCCACAGAGGAAGAAAAAGCTGTGCTTACTTATTTATTTGGGGGTGTTGCTGTAAGACTCGGGGGCACAATTAAGACTGTTGGAAGAATCAGAGTGACTGAAAAGGAAGTTTATGTTTAGAAATAAAGTTACAGAGGTAGTGTGGGGCCATATCATGAGAAGGGGTTGGACCAAGATGGCAGCTGTCAGATTTGGAACGGAAGTTGCAGATGAACAGCACAGGGTGCAGTGAGCTTACGGTCACGGGTCTGAGGGTGTGGATGAATCCACACTTAACCTGTTGATGCTCTGAAAGAAGTAGGATACCAGCTGCAGCGTCTCAGATGTACATAGTTTTTCTTTCCATGGAGGGGAGAAATCAGCTACTGAGGCACCAGTGTGGGGTCCTTGAGGCAGAAGATAGTATTGACACAGAGTTAAATGACATTTAAAATCAGCAGAGAAGCACTTTGGGAGGCTGAGGCAGGAGGATCACTGGAGGCCACAAGTTTGAGACAAGCCTGGGCAACATAGTGAGACCCCATCTCTACAAGATACACAAATAATTAGCCAGCCATGGTAGTACACACTGGTAGTCCCAGCTACTCGGGAGGCTGAGATGGGAAGATCACTTGAGCTCAGGAGTTCAAGACTGCAGTGAGTATGATTGTATCACTGCACTCCAGCCTGGGCAACAGAGTGAGACCCTGTCTCTATTAAAAAAAAAAAAAAAAATTAGGCCGGGTGCGGTGGCTCACGCCTGTAATCCCAGCACTTTGGGAGGCCGAGGCGGGCGGATCATGAGGTCAGGAGATCGAGACCATCCTGGCTAACACAGTGAAACCCCGTCTCTACTAAAAAAATACAAAAAATTAGCCGGGCGTGGTGGCGGGCGCCTGTAGTCCCAGCTACGCGGGAGGCTGAGGCAGGAGAATGGCGTGAACCCGGGAGGCAGAGCTTGCAGTGAGCTGAGATCGCGCCACTGCACTCCAGCCTGGGCGACAGAGCGAGACTCCGTCTCAAAAAAAAAAAAAAAAAAAAAAAATTAGCAGAGGAGTTACATCATTTCTGAAGAAGCAGATTTTACTTAGGAAAAAAAAAAAAGGAGCTCTGCAGAGCCTTGGAAAGAGTTTTTTAGTTTTTTAAGACATAGGACAAGAACTTAGCATCTGGTTTCTTAAAGCAAATATCCCAGATCTGGTGAGAGCAGTGGAATAGAAAACATAATAATAGTCAGGGCTGCTTCTTAGTGAATTACCAGCTGAAGATTTAGATTCAAACTGAGCCTTTACTATGATGGCCGTGCCTTCTGTCTTCGATAATGATTTGGTTACCAGGACTAGAACTCATTCAAGCTAACTTGAGCAAAAGAAATCAATTTGAAGACCATTGGGATGTATCACAGAACCCAAACCCTGTATCCCAAGAAACTAGAAAGAAAGCAGGGACTTTCACTATCTGTCTCTGTGGCCACTTCATCTCCCTTCTCTGCCTCTCTCTCAGCTTGTTATCCATCCTTCTTCCTCTTCGTGGACCAGCAGAATTGGCTCATTCATCCACTCACGTGGCTCAAACTTGAGTTTGGTTGCCTCAACTCCTACTTGACAAATCCCTACAATTTCAGTGCTTGCATTCACTGAGCGGATCCCAATTCCAGCTTCCTAAGAAAGAGAATCTGGTGGCCCCAGTGTGAGGCAGCTGTGGCCAGAGGATGGAGCCCTTTGTCTTGTCCCCAGCCAGCAGTAGTTATGGGAGCAGATGCTCTGAGAAGGTGCTGTGGGTAATAGGTGGTTCTCAAAGAACAGCTGTCAGCCATGGAGGCCCCCATGGAGGTGTGTGCAGTACCTTCACAATGAAGCCACAGTTATATTCAAATGTAACAATGTTTAGTGGGCCTGCCTGATTGCTTCCCAGTTGTTTCTTATGATAGTAAAAGAACAATAGTTCCTGGGTTAATGTGAATGGAGGACCTTCTCTCTTTAACTCCTCCAAAATTTTTATCTTCAACATCTGAATATTTGTAATTAATTTTCACAAGTTTTGAAGCCTCAGCTAAGATAAACAAGGGGTCCATTTGTATGTTAAGATAATTTTTTAAAAATTGAAAGTGATGAAGCCTCTTTGGTAAGAGGAAAAATGCATGACCAAGCCACAAGGATTTCAAAGTAAGCTTGAAATGAAAAAGGAATTTGAAGACAAATATCCTTTTTCAAATTGGCTTTTCCTCCCTGCTTCTGGGAAGCGCTAAGGGTGGGACACGATCTAGAAATCCACTCAGTTGAGTAGTAATGCTTTTGAAGCAACATGACGTGTCTTCTCCGACTAGACTTCGAGCCACACTTTCCAGGACAAGTCAGAGGCAGTGGCCCCCTCAGAGGCTGACTGGGACCGCAGAGGCTTCCCTCGTGGTGAACAGAGTGTTGAGGGACTAATGTGTTTGAGAATTCAGTCTTGAATCTCAGGTCTCAGGGAGTCACTTTCATTTAGTTGCCCAGACTGGTCCTATAAGAAAAGGGGTCAGAGACATGAAAAACAAAAACAAAAACCCATGGAATGGGAGTCGGCAATCCTGGAGCTTACCCTGGCTCTCCATTCTGCCTTATGTGTGCCCACACAAGGCCTTTAACCTTGTTAGACTGGTTTCTTCTTTGTCCAGTAGGAATAATATCATCTGTCCTGCCTCCCTGAAGGGGCTAGAGCTTCCTGTGAGCTGACTTATGTGAAAATGTGCTGTATGCTATACAGATGTAAGAGATTAATATTTTAATATCCGGAATCAAACCGTTTTCTGAGGTGGCTGCCTTTGATTTTTGTCTTTTAAATCAGCCTATTTTATTTTTCTGTTATTCAGCAAGTTGTTCTTGTTTGTGTGGTGAATGATGAAAGCCTTATTGTATATAATGATGACAAACACTATTTATTCAGCACATTCTATTCTGCTAGGCCTTGTGGTATTTACTTTATTTACATTATCTCATTTTATTTCTCACAAGAACCCTTTGAGGTCCGTATTGATTCTCATTCCGCTGTTGATGAAACTGAGCTGAGAAGGGCTGTGATGGAGAGGCCAGAATTTACCCTAGGGTTTGTCTCACTGTAAAAGGCCACCTGCTCCTGGACACATGGTGGTGGCACCAGTGCCCTTCAGAACATTATCAAGTCCTAGGAAGGGAGCAAGCAAAACCCACTCCTGAGCCACAGTGTGGATGGCAGAAAGTGAGGAGCATAATGGCCCTCCCTCTTATAGAAGCTGCATGTTCTGTTTTTCATACGGTTCTTATAAGCTCCACACTTTTGTTCTAAGCCTAGGAAGCAGCAAATTAAGAAGAGGTTAAGCAAAGACTGCAGGCATTGACAGTAATAAGAAGTAGATGCCCACAAAGACCCCTTTCAGTTCTAATGTTCTGAGGTTGCAGCAGCCTTGACAGCAACTGTTTTAGACTGAATGTTTGTCCCCCACCCACCCCCACCATTCTTATGTTGAAGCCCTAACCCTGCAATGTGATGGTATTTGGAGATGAGGCCCTTGGGGAGGTAATTAGGCTTAGATGAGGTCATGAGAGTGGGACTCCCAGGATGGGATTAGTGTCCCCATAAGGAGAGGAAGAGGGCTGGGTGCAGTGGCTCATGCCTGTAATCCCAGTACTTTGGGAGGCTGAGGCAGGTGGATCACCTGAGGTCAGGAGTTCGAGACCAGCCTGGCCAACATGGTGAAACCCCATCTCTACTAAAAATACAAAAAAATTAGCTAGGCATGGTGGCGGGCACCTGTAACCCCAGCTACTCGGGAGGCTGAGGCAGGAGAATCACTTGAACCCAGTGGGTGGAGGTTGCAGTGAACCAAGATCACACCATTGTACTCCAGCCTGTGCAACAAGAGTGAAACTCCGTGTCAAAAAAAAAAAAAAAAAAAAGGAGCGGAAGAGAAATCAGAGCTACATCTCCCTCTGCCATGTGCGGACACAGCAAGAAGGTTTTGGTCTGAAAGCCAGGAAGAGGGCCCTCATCAGGAACTGAAACTGCCAGTACCTTGACCTTAGACTTCTTAGCCTCCAGAACCATGTCCATTGTTTAAGCCACCAGCCTATGGTATTTTGTTATAGCAGTCTGCGTGGACTGAGACAGCAACCAAAAGACAAATTAACTATTAAAGTCAGATACTAGAACATAAAAAAGCACACCAGTCTGGGGCCATTTTGAAGTATATTTGATGACCTCAAGTTACCAAGAAATATTTAAAGAGTAGGCTAAATTTGTTAAATTTGTTTAAGAAAGATCTAATGCATGTTAGAAAGGTTTCATCCAAAATGATTAAGATAAAATGTTAAGTTTTAAAGTTAAGCTTTATGGAAAACTCAATTATCTAGAATGATGTTCCTACATAGCCAAAGAAGACAGTGAGAAGAAAGGAGTCAAAACCAACTGTTCCTAGCTTTAAGTGGATGTCGTTAAGTGGTTGAGTCTGCTTTCCACTTTCACTCTACCTTATTCATTCACTCTGCCCAAGAAGTACCTTTATCCACTCTAATGGCATTCGCAGCAACCTGGATGGGATTGGAGATTATATTCCAAGTGTGAAGGAACTCAGGAATGGAAAACCAAACATTGTATGTTCTCACTCATAAGTGGGAGCTAAGCTATGAAGATGCAAAGGCGTAAGAATGACACAGTGGACTTTGAGGACTCAGGGGGAAAAGGTGGGAACGGGGTGAGGGATAAAAGACTACAAATTGAGTGCAGTGTATACTGCTCAGGTGATGGGTGCACCAAAATCTCACAAATCAAACTAAAGAACTTACTCATGTAACCAAACACCACCTGTTCCCCAAGAACCTATGGAAATAAAAAAAAAAAAAACCAGAAGTACCATTATCCACTCATTCCATGATTTCAGTGGGTGACACAGGAAGTGCTTGTTCATTCAGCATATAGTCCTAGAGCACCTGCTTTGTGACCGGGACCACTCCAGGCCCTGGGAATACAGGGGTGTGTGGAAGATATAGTCCTGCCCTTTAGTTGCTCATAGTTAATCAGGTAGAGAGACAAGTAAACAGGTGTTCAGAATCAAACTCAGCATAGACTGCTGTAGGACTACACAGCAGGGACACATAACCCTCTTTCTTGTGGGGGATAGGGTGGGGAGGATGGGAGGGCCATGGGGCTTCCCAGGGGAAATGATGTTCAGGCTGAAATCTTAAGAAGGGAATAATATTCTAAGCACAGGGAATAGCATGTGCAAAAACCCGGAGGCCAGAGAGCAAAGTCCAGTTGGGAAACTTGCAAATACACTACAATTTGGTCTCTGTATAGAATGTGAGCTGAAGGGTAGACAGGTCATGGTGGTGGGAGAGGGGAAGGGGGAGCAGCACAGGAGCAGCAGCAGTGTACCATGTGAGAAAGTTTGGACTTTATCCTGGGGGGCAACCAGAGAGCTTTGAGGGTTTGGGGAAGGGCTCCATTTACCTCACCAGCTGCTGCTGCTTTTCCCTTTCTCTGCTACCAGTCACGCTCACTTCTTGTAGTTCCTGCCAAGGCCACAATCTTTCTTGCTTCAGGCCTTTGCACTTCTGTCTGGAATGTACTGCAAAGATTATTCTGGTTGCAGTTTGCTAACTAGATTAGAGTAGGGTAAGCCTAGAAATGGAGATAGAATAGGAGGCTGATGCAGTGGTCTAAGTGAAAGGAGATGGTGACCAAAACTGGGGAAGTGGCAGCGTGGACAGAGAGGCAAGGGCAGATGTATGTGATATTGTAGGAGGTAGAATTGACAGTGTCACAATTGGCAAGTGATTGCCTTTGGGGGCAAGTTTGATACCTTAGGCCACTGATGTTCAAATGGGTTAGAAGGGCAGCAGGCTGTGGTCTGATTCCCAGTGATCTACCTCATGGTGTGTTTCAAGACCTCACTGTCCTATTGAAACATGAACCACCTGGATTTGCTCAACAAATTAATAAAGCTTAGAGGTTCCAGCTGTGTTAATGCAAGCCATGGCCATGTTTATGTCTAACCTTAACATTTATGATTATATGCCTTAGGCTTTCTGTAAACTAATACATAATAACATGCTTACTTGTAAGCATAATGGAATAAATGAGAGAAAAATCAGAGTAAATGACCAAGATGATCATCATCAAGTAGCTCTTATTAACAACCATTAAATGCCTGGCTCAGGTTTCCACGCACAAGGTCCTTTAACAAACTCAGTTTATATCATATGCTCTTGACCAGAGAAGCTTGACTCACTGCAGTTGTTTAAACCCTAAAACCCAGACATTTCCAAGCCAGGCCCCTCCACCCCCAACACTGGACTCCTACTGCATAGAGCTTTTCTGTTTACATTTGCTACTATAGAGATTTAGTTTGTTTCCGAAGGATGCATTTTAACTTTTGTGTGGTGAGCCACATTTGTTATATTTGAACCATGTGTGACGCAAGGGAGAAAGGTAACCACTTGGCTTAGAGGGGGAAGGGTGAGTCTTTGGGTTAACAGAGGTACTTCCTGCCAATTTAAAATGAGCTGGTTAGATGGTGGAATACATTAAAACGTGTGTGTGTCTGTGTGTGTGTGTGTACATGCGCACATACACATGAATATATTTTTATATGCCCAAAAGACTAATGTGGATATAAAGCTTATTAAACTGGACCATGCTGTTTTCCAGTCTGAAACATAAAGGAAAAAAATGCTATTGGACCGGGCGCAGTAGCTCACGCCTGTAATCCCAGCACTTTGGGAGGCCAAGGTGGGCGGATCGCAAGGTCAGGAGATCGAGACCATCCTGGCTAACATGGTGAAACCCTGTCTGTACTAAAAATACAAAAAATTAGCCGGGCGTGGTGGCGGGCGCCTATAGTCCCAGCTACTTGGGAGGCTGAGGCAGGAGAATGGCGTGAACCCGGGAGGCGGAGCTTGCAGTGAGCCAAGATGGCACCACTGCACTCCAGCCTGGGCAACAGAGCAAGACTCCGTCTCCAAAAAAAAAAAAAATGCTATCTAAGAGTCTATATGCCTGTCACTTTGGAATTGTATAATACATAACTCTCAGCTGACCTAGAAGTGCTTCTGAGACCAGGCCTCATTTGTGTTTTGTTATATCTTCAGTTATATAAACCATGAGGAACAAATGGAGAAAGGGAAAGGACTTCAGCTGATAGTGGAGTGATTCATAAATCGATAACATAGATGGAAAACTAAGGTCCACAGAGATTCATCGTCCATGACCCATGATGAATTAATTTCTTTATTCAATAAAGCTATATTTAGTATTATAAGGTATATTATCTATTGCTGCCTAACAAATTACCTCAAAACTTGGTGGCTTAAAACAACACACATTCATTATCTCATGCATTCTGCGGGTCAGGAAATGTGGGGTATGACTTCGCAATATCCTGCTTCAAGGCGTCTCACAAAGCTGCAAGCCAGGTGTCTACCAGAGCTGGAGTCTCATCTGAAGGCTCAACTGAGGAAAGATCTACTTTCAACCTCACGTAGTTGTTGGTAGGATTTAGTTAATTGTGGACCATTGGGTGAAATTCTTTTTCTTGTGGGATGTTGGCTGAAGTCCACCCTCAGTTCCTTACCACACAGCCTCTGACATGGCATATTGCTTCATTATTGCTTCACAGAAATATGCAAAGCGAGAAAACAATAGAGAGTCTGCAAGCAAGATGAAGTCATAATCTTTTGTAACCTAATCCCAGAAGTGACATCCCATCAAGTTTGCCACATTCTACTTGTCAAAAGCATGTCAGCAGTCCAGCTCACACTCAGGGGGAGGAGATTATACAAGGGCATGAATACCAGGAAGGGGGGATCTGTCTTAGGCAGTTTGGGCTGCTGTAACAAAATACCATAGAGTGGGTGGCTTAAACAACAGACATTTATTTCTCATAGTTCAAGGGGCTAGGAAGTCCAGGGTCAAGGTGCTGGTGACTCAGTGCCTGGTGAGGCCTCTCTTCCTAGTTTGCTGAGGGCTACCTTCTTGCTGCAGAGAGAGAGGGGGCTCTGGTCTCTTCCTCATATAAGGGCAGTGATTCCATCATGGGGGCTCAGCCATCATAATCTCATCTAAACCTAATTACCTCCCAAAGGCCTCACCTCCAGATACCTTCATATTGGGAATTCAGGCTTCAATATATTAATTTTAGGGAGTAATAGGGGGAAAAAACCTTTTCCCATACATTCATACACTTCTCTTCTAACACCAGATATAGGGATTTGTCTCAAACCAGCCAATTCTCCAAGTTTCCAGACACCACCTGGGGGTCCTACAATTAAGTTATGGCACTACCTAACTCAGTCCCACAAGACTGCCCCCCACTTCAGATGCCAATTACAAGGAGTGGGTCCCAACTTGGCTACAAATTGGGGTTTCCCACAACCCTCTCCTCTGGTTTGCTAATTTGCTATAACAGCTCACAGAACTCAGGGAAACACACTTACCAGTTTATTATAAAGGATATAGGTGTGGCTAAGCATGGTGGCTCACACCTGTAATCCCAGCACTTTGGGAGGCTGAGGCAGGAGGATCGCTTGAGCCTAGGAGTTCAAAACCAGCCTGAGCAACATAGTGAGACCCCATCTCAATTCAATAGTTAAAAAAATAAAATTAAAAGGCTATAGGTGAACTGCAGATGAAGAGATATATAGGGTGAGGTCAGGAAGGATCCTGTACACAGGAGCTTCTGTTCTTGTGGAGTTTGCCATACCTGGCACAGATATTTATTCACCAACCCAGAAGCTCTCCAAATGGCATCTTTTAGGAATTTTAACGATGGCTTCATTACATAGGCATGATTGATTATTAACTCAATTTCTAGACTCTCTCCTCTCCCTGGAGGATGTGGGGGTGTGGGACTGAAAGTTCCAAGCTTTTAATCATGGCTTCATCTTTCTTGTGACCACCCTCCATCCTGAAGCTATCCAGGAGCCTACCAAGAGTTGCCTCATTAGAACAAAAGATGCTCTGGTCACCCAGAAAATTCCCGGAGAGTTGCTCTGTGCCAGGGCAGAGACCAAGTGTCACGGGGGTATGCAAACATTGAGTGCATAGCAGAATCATTGAGGTACATCTTTGAAAGCTGTCTACCAGAGTTGGTACATATATTTAGCTTTCTTTGTTCTCAGCTACAGCTTTTTCTACTAGACCAAACCATCTGATGTGTGGCTGTGAAACACTAATATGCTCAGTGTGGTGGGCTGAAGAATGGCCCTCCAAAGATGTTCATGATATAATCCCTAGAATCTGTGAATACGTTACCTTAGATGGCATAGGAGATTTTGCAGATATGATGAAAGATTTTGTGATAGATTATCCAGGTGAGACCAATGTAATCACAGGGTCCTTAGAGAGGCAGGAGGATCTGAGTCAGAGAAGACAGATGTGACAATGGAAACAGAGGGAGGAAGAAGAGGTGATGAAGGAAACAGAGGGAGGAAGGAGAGGTGATGATGGAAACAGGGAGGAGGGAGAGGTGATGAAGGAAATGGAGGAGGGAGAGGTGATGAAGGAAATGGAGGAGGGAGAGGTGATGATGGAAACAGGGAGGAGGGAGAGGTGATGAAGGAAATGGAGGAGGGAGAGGTGATGAAGGAAACAGGGAGGAGGGAGAGGTGATGAAGGAAATGGAGGAGGGAGAGGTGATGAAGGAAACAGGGAGGAGGGAGAGGTGATGAAGGAAATGGAGGAGGGAGAGGTGATGATGGAAACAGGGAGGAGGGAGAGGTGATGATGGAAACAGGGAGGAGGGAGAGGTGATGAAGGAAATGGAGGAGGGAGAGGTGATAATGGAAACAGGGAGGAGGGAGAGGTGATGAAGGAAACAGGGAGGAGGGAGAGGTGATGATGGAAACAGGGAGGAGGGAGACGTGATGATGGAAACAGGGAGGAAGGAGAGGTGATAAAGGAAACGGAGGAGGGAGAGGTGATGATGGAAACGGAGGAGGGAGAGGTGACGATGGAAACAGGGAGGAGGGAGAGTTGATGATGGAAACAGGGAGAAAGGAGAAGTGATGAAGGAAACGGAGGAAGGAGAGGTGCTGACGGAAACAGAGGGTGAAATGGTGCGGCTGCAAGCCAAGGCATATGGGCAGCTGCTAGGAGGTTGAAAAGGCAAGGAATGGATTCTCCCCTTGAGCCTCTAGGAGGAACTTGGCTCCACTAACACCTTGAGTTTAGACCCATAAGCCCCACTTAGTACTCCTGACCTCCAGAACTGAAAGATAATAAATTTATGTTATTTAAAGCCACTAGGTTTGTGGTAATTTGTCCCAGCAGCAATAAGGAACTAATATATTCACCAAAAGTCCTTGAGGAAACCCACTTGTGGAATCTTTGAAGGAATTAGGAGCTTAAATAGAAGGTATAGGATAATGGGCTTCTGAGAGGGCTTTTCCTGCCCTCTGGTAACTCTGAAACATAATTTACATTATTGGAGTCTTTCTGTTTTTAGGAAATTGTTCCTAGTTTTCTTCAATACTAAATCCTATCAATATTAAACAGTTTTTTTTTTTTTTAAATACGTATTCGGTTAGTTAAATGTAGACCTAGTCTCACATACTCTTCAAAATAAAACAAAAACATGGTTTTTAGCAGAGGACACTAAAGCTTCCATTTTCAAAGCTGGTTGCTTGTTGTTTATTTGTACCTCAGGAGTGGAAATACTGGCTGAGATGAAAGTACCTGGCACAAATCGCTTTTCCTTCTTGGTGTTTCACAGCCAGATGTTGCGAAATTCTTTTGTTTTTCTTTTTTCTTTAGTGCCTGGAAACCTTGGCTGCTACAAGGATCATGGAAACCCACCTCCTCTAACTGGCACCAGTAAAACGTCCAACAAACTCACCATACAAACTTGCATCAGTTTTTGTCGGAGTCAGAGGTTCAAGGTGATGACTCTGTGGCTGTGTAACTATAGAAAAATATAAAGATGTAAATGCATTTTGCTGAGATAACTTAAAAATAAGTGCTAAGTAAAATAAGCCAGACACAAAAGGCCACATATTGTATGATTCCACTTACATGAATTGTCTAGAATAGGCAAATCCATAGGGATAGAAAGCAGGTTAGTGGTTGCCAGAGGGTGGGAAGCGGGAGGAATTGGTACTAACTGCTAATCAACACAGAATTTCTTTTCTGGGTTATGAATGTTCTGGAATTAGATGGCAGTGACTGCACAACACAGTGACTATACCAATAACCACTGAAATATACACTGAAACAGTGAATGTTATGTTATGTGAATTACATTTCAGTTTTTAAAAAACCTAAAATAACTAAACTTCTAGAAAAATAAACAGAAAATCCTAAAATATTGGGTTAGACAAAGATTTATAAATTGGACACAAAAACAAATCATTTTAAAAAGTTGGTAAATTGAACTTATCAATATTAAAATATTATCTTCAAAAAATAGAGTTAAGAATATGAAAGGCAGACCACAGACTAGGAGAAAGTAGTTGTTAAATATATATCTGATAAAGGACTTGTATACAGAATATATAAAGAACACTTACAGCTCAACAATATGACAACTTGATTTTAAAAATCAGCAAAAAATTTGAAGAGACATTTTATCCCCCAAAAATACATAGATGGCCAATAAACACATGAAAAGATGCTCAGCATCACCAGTTGTCAGGGAAATACAAATTAAAACCACAATGAGATACCACTGCACACCACTTCAGGATGTCTGAAGTTAATACTGAAAATACTAAGAATTGATAAGGATGTGGAGCAACTGAACTCTCATAGACTGCTAGTAGGAATGTAAAATGCTACAGCTTCTTTGAAGAAAGATCTTAAAGTTTCTTTCAAAGTTAAATATGCACATACCTTAAAACTCAGCAATATCACGCCTGGATAGTTACCCAAGATAAATGAAAACCTGTGTTCACATCAAGACTTATATATGAATGTTCATAGCAGCATTATTCATAATAGCTCCAAACTGTAAATAATCTAAACGTCCATTAACTGATGAATGGAGAAATAAAGTACAGTATATCCATACTGTGGAATACCACTCAGCAATAAAACGAAGAGACATATTAAGACCTACTGGCTGGGCACGGTGGCTCATGCCTATAATCCCAGCACTTTGGGAGGCCAAGGTGGGTGGATCACGAGGTCAGGAGTTGGAGACCAGCCTGACCAACATGGTGAAACCCCGTCTGTACTAAAAATACAAAAATTAGCCGGGCATGGTGGTGTGTGCCTGTAATCCCAGCTACTCAGGAGGCTGAGGCGGGAGAATTGCTTGAACACAGGAGGCGGAGGTTGCTGTAGTGAGCCGAGATCGCACCACTGCACTCCAGCCTGGGCAACAGGGCGAGACTCTGTCTCAAAAAAAAAAAAAAAAAAAAAAAAAAGACATACTGTTATATACAACGTGGATGAATCTCCAAAACAGTAGGCTAATTGAAAGAACTTAAACACAAGACTACATACTGAACTCAAAATGTATCCCAAATCTAACTGTAAAATGTAAAATTATAAAACTTCTAGAAGACGATATAAGAGAAAATCTTCATGACTTGAGTTTAGGCAAAAAGTTCTCACATGAGGCACCAAAAGCACGACCCATCATGAGAAAAAATTGGTACATTTTAATTTGGACTTCATAAAAATGTAAAGATCTTGCTCTGTGAAAGATATTTTTAACAGGATGAAAAGACAAGCTATAGCCTGGGAGAAAATATTTGCAAATCACATATGTGACAAAGGACTTGTATCCATAATGTGTAAAATTAAAAAAAAAAAAAGCCAAACAACTCAATAGTTAAAAAAACTGAACAAAGCAATTTAAAAATGGGCAAAAGACCTGAACAGAAGATATACAGATGGCAAATAAGCATATGAAAAGAAGCCAAAGAAGATATACAGATGACAAATAAGCACATGAAAAGATAGTCATCTGGGCGTGGTGGCTCAAGCCTGTAATCCCAGCACTTTGGGAGGCCAAGGCAGGAGGATCACTTGAGGTCAGGAGTTTGAGACCAGCCTGGCCAACATGGCAAAACCCTGTCTCTACTAAAAATACAAAAATTAGCTGGGCGTGGTAGCACACCTGTAGTCCCAGTTACTCGGGAAGCTGAGACAGGACAATTGCTTGCACCTGGGAGGTGGAGGTTGCGGTGAGCCAACATCATACCACTGTACTCCAACCTGGATGACAGAGTGAGACTCTATCTGAAAAACAAAAGAAAACAAAGAAAGAAAAAGAAGATATAGTCGACATCATTAGCCATTAAGGTAATGCCAATTAAAACTAAAATGAGATATCACTACATACCTATTAAAATGGCTAAAATAAAATATACTGAAAATAACAAGTGCTGACAAGGATACAGAGCAACTGGGACTTTCATATATTGTTGGTGCAGATCTAGAATGGTAGTCATTCTGGAAAAAGTTTGGCACTTTTTTATAAAGTTAAATATACATCTACCATATGACCTAGTAATTCCATTCCTAGTTATTACCCTAGAGACATGAAAACTTATATTCACATAAAAATCAGTACACAAATGCTTATAGCAGTTCTATTCATAATTATGAATAACTAGAAACAGCCCAACAGATAAACAAGCTGTGATACATCCATACAATGAACTCTGCTCAGCAATAAGAAGGAGTAAACTATTGATACAAACACCAATTTGGATGACTCTCAAAGACATTATGCTGACTGAAAGAAGCCAGTCTCAAAAAGATTACATACTATATGATTCTATTTATGTGACATTTTCGAAAAGACAAAACTACAGTAAAGGAAAATGCGTCAGTGGTTGCCAGGGTTTCTGGGGGAGGGGGCCTATAAAGCAATAGTGCAAAGAAAATTATTGGGGTAATGGAGCTGTTCTGAATCCTGATTGTACTGGTGGTTGCACAAATCTTTTTTTTTTTTTTCTTTGAGACAGAGTCTCACTGTGTTGCCCAGGCTGCAGTGCAGTGATGCAGTCTCGGCTCACTGCAACATCCACCTCCAGGGTTCAAGCAAATCTCCTGCCTCAGCCTCCCAAGCAGTTGGGATTACAGGTGCCCACGACCACACCTGGCTAATATTTGTATTTTTAGTAGAGACGGGGTTTCACTTTGTTGGCCAGACTGGTCTCTAACTCCTGATCTCAAGTGATCCACCTGCCTCGGCCTCCCAAAGTGCTGGGATTACAGACGTAAGCCACCATGCCCGGCTGTGGTTACACAAATCTATACAAGTGTTAAAATTTATAGAACTATATGCCAAAATACTATATAGCAATGTAAAAACAAAATTGTAAAATGGGGCCTATAATGTGTTTGCTTTGAGGGTTAGCTATAAAGCACTCACTGCCTGGCTCATAGTAAACAGTCAATAAAATGTTTAGCTGTTACTCACATTTGAAGTTTATGAGATTTTCTCCCCCTTAAAACTTACTGAAGTGCAGTAGAAACACAAACATTAAAAAGTGATGCTCGCCGACAGGGAAACACATTGGTGGTTGCGTACTTATTGTTCAGCTTGAAATTAAGTGTTGCAAGAGTGGAAGAAGGGGGAGGTCCCAGGGGAAGGGACCCTGGGAAGTTGAGGCTGATTGCTTGCTGGAAGCCCACCCTGCCAGGCTCCTTCAGGCCATCTGACATCCCTGATGATGCTTACCGTGTGCTGCTTCTCTGTTGTGGCAGTTTGCTGGGATGGAGTCAGGCTATGCTTGCTTCTGTGGAAACAATCCTGATTACTGGAAGTACGGGGAGGCAGCCAGTACCGAATGCAACAGCGTCTGCTTCGGGGATCACACCCAACCCTGTGGTGGCGATGGCAGGATCATCCTCTTTGATAGTGAGTATGCCCTGTGCCCATCACTGCCCAAGGCACAGGAACCCTTGGACCAGAGCAACAAGCCTGCCCACCCTCCCTCCCTTCTATGTATTCATTCATTCACTTGGCAATAGACAATACTTGTGACTAGACCCTGGGAATACAGCACAGTGCATGAAGACTCAGCCCCTGCCTTCTGGAAGAGAGAACAGACACTTAAAAAGGGATTAGCTACAGTCATGCCAAACGGTTTGAAGCAACGTGGCCTATTCTGTGATGCTTAGACAACCCAGAAATGATAACCTTTCCAATTTTACATAGACACTAATATAACAATCCAGTATCAGCTTTATTATACTCTTGCTTTAATATAATTTCCAAACCCTTTTGACTGTTTTTTTTTTAGGCATTTGGGATTTATATATTATTGTGATAGACCTGAGGAGACAGCGTAGCTCTAAGTTGTTTTTTCAGGCCTGGCATTGGGTTTGCCCTGACCCACCTCCTCTCTAAACTGCCGCATTTGTGAGATACTGGCCAGGGGCAGAGTGTGTTCAGAATGGGAGTGGATCCAGGGCCTTGACCTCACCAACATCATGTTCTAACCACTGAGCCAGCTGATTCCTCATCATAATCCACCAGCATCCTCTCAGTGGCAGTGAAACTTTATGATAATTACAGCGCTGTGCAGCACCAGATTTAAAGATAGTGGAGGCAGACAAAAAAAAAAAAAGGCTCGAGATTACCAAGAAATATTGTAGTGTCTGTGGTGTCTTTGGCCTTTAGGCTAGAGGAGGTGCGCTACTGGCATCTCAACCAGGCAGCATGGCTAGTTTTGAGCAAAAATGACATATGGTTTATTAGTTTCCTAGGACTGCCATAACAGATTATCACCAACTGGGTGGCTTAAAACAACAAACATTCATTCTCTGACAGTTCTGGAGGCTAGAAATCCAAAATCGAGGTGTCAGCAGGGCTGTGCTCTCTCCAAAGTCTCCAGGGAAGCCCTCCTCACTTCTGGTGGTTGTCGGCGATCCTTGGCATTTGTTGGCTGCACCACTCCAGTCTCTGCCTTCTCTTTCACATGGCCATCTTCCCTCTGTGTGTGTCTGTGTGTCTATGTCTCTGTGTGTCTCCTTAAAAGGAACCAATCATTGGATTTAGGGCCCACCTTAATTTAGTATAGCCTCATCTTAACTCGGTTACATAACATTCACAGGTACCAGGTGTTAGGACTCGAACTTATCTTTCTAGGGGACACAATTCAGCCACTATATATATGGTGACTATAAAACCCAGCCAAGGTTTATAACTGAGCCTTTTACATGTTATAGCTTAGATATTATCTAAAGTGTGTTTGTATTTGGGGTGGGAAGACAGGATTAGTGAACAGAACTTACAGTCAATTGGTTTTTTTAGCTAAGTGTGCCCATTGGAGACTGCCAGTTGATTCCTATACATCCTGTTATGTCCAGACCAATGCTTAGTTTGATACCTTTGTTTTGGCTAAAGACTGAACTTTGGCTAATGATTAACGAATCTTGCTAATGCTTAGTTGGCAAATAACTACCCACTGCACATCTATTTAACCTTTTATTCTAGAGTTCATTATTATAAGATTCTCTGCCTTAACACTGTAACTCAGGAGAGTAAGTTTTCTGAACTTGCAGAATGCCTGGTATACTCTTAAGTGAAAAAACAAAGGAAATGTTTCTTGAGTACCTAGTATGCATGAAGGCCTTATCTAAATTATCACATTCGGTTCTCTTGGCACCCTTCTGAAGTAGGGGTTATTGTGATTACTCTCATTTCACAGAAGACAGCCACATGACATGGACAGGATAAATAACTTGCTGGGATTCATACTGCTAAGAAACCACTAGAGAGGTGCTAGAGAGGAAAGAGGAGTAGTGTGAGGGTTTACTACCTGTTTTTTGACTTTAAATAGAATGCAGTGTCAATTAAAAAATGGAAAATGAGTGTCCACAGATATATGGAGAAATTGGAACCCTCATACATTGCTGGTGGGAATGTAAAATGGTGCAGCTGCTTTGGAAAACAGTCTGGCCAGCCTGGCCAACATGGTGAAACCCCATCTCTACTAAAAATACAAAAATTAGCTGGTTGTGGTGGCACACGTGCCTGTAATCCCAGCTACTCGGGAGGCTGAGGCACAAGAATCACTTGAACCCAGGAGGTGGAGGTTGCAGTGAGCTGAGATAGCGCTCTGCCTGGCGACAGAGCGAGACTCCATCTCAAAAAAAAAAAGTAAACAGTCTGGCATTTCCTCAAAACGTGAACAGAGAGTAACTGTATGACCCAGCAATTCCATTCTTAGGTATATACCTGAGAGAACTGAAAACATGTTTCCACAAAAAACATACATACCAATGTTCCTAGCAACATTATTCATAATAGCCAAAAAGCGGCAGCAAACCAAATGTCTATCAGCTGATGAATGGATAAACAAAGTGGATATCCATATGATGGAATATTATTCAACCATAAAAATAAATAAAGTACTGAGGCATGCTACAACATGGATGAACCTTGAAACCATTATTCTAAATGAAAGAACCAGATGCAAAGGGCTACATATTTTATGATCTCATTTATATGAAATGTCCAGAATAGGCAAAGCCACACAAATGGAAGCCAGATTCCGGGTTGCCAAGGGCTGGGGGAAGGGGAAGAATATGGAGTGACTGCTTAATAGGTACGGATTTTCTTTTTAGGGTGATAAAAATGTTCTGGAATTAGGGATGATGATTGTATAACATTGTGGATATACTGAATACCACTGATTCATATATAGATAGTCCCCAACTTAGGACAGTCAACTTATGATTTTTCAACTTTGCAGTAGGTTTATCAGGGTATTAAATGCATATTTCACTTTGATATTTTCAATTTACAATGAGTTTATCAGGACATAACCCCATTATAAGTCAAGGAACATCTGTACTTTAAAATGGTTAAAATGGTGGATTTTAGATCAAGAAGAAATAGAATGTAGTTTTTATAAGACAGTCTTTGAATTAGTACATTTTTATTGGGCATCTGCTGTGTGGTAGATAAAAGTATGTTTTCTTTAGTATAGTGCCTTTACTGGAGGTGTCAAGCAGAAATAATCTGGATTAAATTGTAAATGCAGCACTATGGAAATAGTCTCTAAAGTGCACACCAAGTAGCATCTTTGGTACTACTAGGAAAGAGTACTGGCCCTCACATAAAGGTGCACTGAAGTGAATTAATTATAACAACAATTATTGCTATTTACTGAGTGCTTGTCATGTGCTAGACTTGATGCCAAGTGCTTTTGTGAATTTTATGTTATTTAATCCTTGTAGCAATCCTGTTGATAAGAAAACTGTGGATCAAAAGATGAAGTAATTTGTCTATGCTAGTAAGTGCCAGAGCCAGGATTCAAACCCTGGTTTGCCACATTTGAAATTTTTCTATTTTCAGCAGCTAGAATCCCTTTTATTAACAATAGTAAAAATAGATCATAATAACGGATCCAGTTTTATGCTTTAAAGTTATATGAACAAAGTATGCCCAGTTCTGATTATTCCCACATTGGCCCCTTGTGCAGCTCTCCAGAAGCTGCCCTTCCTGGCTTGCATTTGCTCAAGGACTAAGAAGGCTGGCATTCTGAGAGGCTGCTCACGCCATCCTCCAGAGGCCCAGATGCCTGTGGTCTACAGGACCCCTGACAGCAGCCAGTTCTGTAACTCACACCCCATTGCTCTGCTGAGAAAGGTACAAAATGCAGCACTGTATAAATAATCTCTAAAGGTGCATCTAGAGGCCGGCACAGGGGTGCACACCTGTAATTCTAGGCTGGAGGCTGAGGCAGGAGAATCGCTTCAACCCGGGAGGTGGAGGTTGCAGTGAGCCGAGATCACACCACTGTACTCCAGCCTGGGCGACAGAGTGAGACTCCATCTAAAAAAAAAAAGGTCCATCTAGTAGAGAGTAAAATAGTTTGAACAGCTCAAGTACCGCCTCATGGAAATCCTTATGACTCATTGAACAAGGCTGAGCACTTTGGAAATGGTGACCACAGACTGTCCCATGATTTAGGAGGGTGAAGATGTCTCCCTAAAGATATTGGAGAAGTTAGATGGTGAGAAACGACCAGGTTACAGTCTGTCTCCCAGAACATGAGGCCCTGCTACCAGTGTGGCTCGCATGTGGGTCTCAGTCAGAGTGTCAGCGACATCTTCCTGTCCTCTGCTGATTAGAGGAACACCCAGGCTCCTCTGCAGTAGAAGTACTCAGGCTGTGTTTGCTCTTTGGCAGACAGACGACGGGGCTAGTGGGGGTGGAGGGTGAGGGGCAGCTGGCAGAAGCTGTCTGCTCAGTCATCACTGCCACATCAAGTAATTTGTCACAGACTCTCTGGCTGATTTTTCAGCAAGCTCATGGACTTGGAGAGGTCACAGAGGTGAGCTGTGTACTGTGGGCAAGCACAACACTGACGGGGGCTTCATAGCCTCTGCTACCCCTAGGGATTATAATTTATTGAATTAACATAACCAAACAGAAGAACATGTAGGCCAGAGTCAACAGTGGGTTACAGGAACTACCCAGGCTAGCCTGTTGGGACTCCCTTGGCTTCTAGGCCCTGAAGGGAGGGGTCAGTCATCTGGATTGGACCTTATTTTGTAGCATTAGTTGAACATTTATCATTGACAGGAGCCTGTGCTATTCACTTTACATGCGTTGTCTCCCTTAATTCTCACAGTACTGTGAAGCAGGTACTGTTATGCTTATTTTACAGATGAGAAAACTGAGGCTCATAAAAGTTCAGTAATCTGCCCAAGGTCCCACAGATAAAGATCCTGCCTTCATGGAACCTTTATTTTAGTGGGAAGGGAAGAGATTAATTGTGAAAGTGATTGGTCTAAGGATGGGTAGGATCTGGCTCCTGGGACTGTGTTAGCAATTGCATTTCATAGACTCTAAGATGCCTCAATTCTGAGGTGCAACATTATTTTATACACCATTAAGGGAAAAAGTATTTCCAGTTTAACAATGACATGCATTGACTAAAAGATACATCCCAGTTTAAAAGATTAAAGTGTATCCCTTAGAGTTGATGAAATATGGTACCAGCCTTCTTTCTTGGGTGCCAAGAAAGAGTAGAATCTTTCCATCCTGAGTGGAATCTGATTCATGGCTGGGACCCATTTGGCTAAGGTTTGTTTCCTGAGACATGCCCATTATCATTCCTGTCTAGAAGTGGAGCACTCAGCTGGGGTTCCGGGAAGCTGCCTGTCATGACTAGTGCCTGAGGCTTCTTCCCAAAGAAATGGACTCAGCTAGTATCGAGAAGGAGCAGGAAGATTGAAGAGAATCACAGAAGGCAGGAGGACACCGGCCCCCTGCCATGGAGGGCTTGCCCAGGTCTATCCTGGGCCCTCCACTCACCCAGATTGTATATGTCGGGCTAATCTCTCCTTCAAAAAATAAGGTCTTGACTACTATATTTCAAGTTTCCTGTTGGATTATCACTGAATTTTAATAATCCATCATAAAGATCATCTGTTCTCAAAACTGCTGAATTAAATATGCTGTCAGCATGGAATCCAAAGTTTTAGGTTTAAGGTCTGCCCTTGCTATTGAAAAATACCAGTTTCAGTTGGATACTTTATTCTTTTCAAATAATGGTAAAAATAGAATACCCAACACTTACTGAGCTTATACTGTGTGTCACATCTTACACAGAACACTTCATAAGCATTGCTCCTGCTAATTCTCATGACCCCACGAGAGAGAAACTATTACCATTTTCATTTTATAGATGAATAAACTGAGATATACAGAGGTTTAGTAACCTGCTCAAATTCATAGTTAGTACATGGTGAAGTCAGGATTAGAACCCAGGAAGTCTTTCTCCAAAGCTTGATTTTTTCTTAAATTAGGTTCTAATTTTAGGTATAATGTACATACAGTAAAAATCACCCTTTCAGTTGTATACTTCAGTGGGATTTGACAAATATATAAGCAATCGAGATTAGGACTTTTTTTTTTTATCACCTCACAAGTTCCTTTCTGCTCCTTTGTGGTCAGTTCCCTTCCCCAACCCAACTCCTCAGCAACAACTGATCTGTATTCTGTTCATATATATATATATATATATATATATATATATATATATGTGTGTGTGTGTGTGTGTGTGTGTGTGTGTGTGTATATGTATATATGTGTGTATATATATGTATATATGTATATATATGTGTGTATATATATGTATATATATACATGTATATATATGCATATATACATGTATATATGTGTATATATATGTATATATGTATATATATGTATATATGTGTATATATATGTATATATGTATATATATATGTATATATATATATAGTTTTGTGTTTTGCAGAATATTATATAAATGGAATCACAGTATTTAGCCATTTGTCTCTGGCTTCTTTCACTTAGAATAATGCTTTTTTTTTTTTTTTTTTTTTTTTGAGATGGAGTTTCACTCTTGTTGCCCAGTCTAGAGTGCAATGGCGCGATCTTGGCTCACAGCAACCTCCGCCTCCCTGGTTCAAGCCATTCTCCTGCCTCAGCCTCCGGAGTAGCTGGGATTACAGGCATGCACCACCACACATGGCTAATTTTGTATTTCTAGTAGAGATGGGGTTTCTCCGGGTTGGTCAGGCTGGTCTCAAACTCCGGACCTCAGGTGATCCACCCGCCTTTTCCTCCCAAAGTGCTGGGATTACAGGTGTGAGCCACCACGACCGGCCAGAATAATGCTTTATGATTCACCTATGTTGTTGCCTGTATCAGTAGTTTTTTTCCTTTTTATTGCTAAGAAGCGTTCCTTTGTACAGATGTATCGCAATCTGTTCATCTATTCACCAATTGACAAACATTGGTCTGTCTATGATAAAGCTGTTGTAAACATCCAAGTACAGGTGCTTATGTGGACATATGTTGTCATTTCTCTTGGGTACCTACCTAGGAGTGGGATTGCTGGGTCATGTGCTAAGTGCATATTTAGCATTATAAGTCACTGCCAACTGTTTTCCAAAGTGGATGTGCCATTTTGCATTCTGACCACCAATATGTATGATTTTCATTTGCTCCACTTTCTCTCCAGCTACAGATACTTTTGTATGATCTGTTTTTTAAATGTGATCCATTCTAGTAGGTATGTAGTAGTATCTCATTGTGGTTTTAATTTGCATTTCTCTAATTACCAATGATATTGAACATCTTTTTGTATTCTTATTTGCCATCTGGTATATTCCTTTCCCCTAAAGAAATTCCTTTAGCATTTTGTCTAGTACAGGTTGACTGTCAATAGCTTCTTTCAGCTATTGTTCGAAAAAGCTTTATTTCACCTGCATTTTTTTGAGTAATTTTTGCTGGGTATTGATTTCTGTGCTGACAGCTTTTTTCTTTCAGTACTTCAAAGATATTGGTCCATATTCTTGTGACTTGTATGGTTTTTAGAGATGTCTGCTCTATCTTTATTCCCCTGTATGTAATCTTTTCCTCTTCCTTGCCTGCCTTCAAGATTTTATCTTTGGTTTTGAGGCCGGATGTGGTGGCTCATGCCTGTAATCCCAGCACTTTGGGAGGCCGAGGCGGGTGGATCACGAGGTCAGGAGATCGAGACCATCCTGGCGAACACGGTGAAACCCCGTCTCTACTAAAAATACAAAAAATTAGCCAGGCGAGGTGGCGCATGCCTGTAGTCCCAGCTACTTGGGAGGCTGAGGCAGGAGAATGGCGTGAACCCAGGAGGTGAAGCTTGCAGTGAGCAGAGATCGCGTCATTGCACTCCAGCCTGGGCAACAGAGCGAGACTCCATCTCAAAAAAAAAAAAAAGAAAAAAGAAAAAAGATTTTATCTTTGGTTTTGGTTTTCAACTTTTTTTTTTTTTTGAGACAGGGTCTTACTCTGTCACCCAGGCTAGAGTGCAGTAGTGCAGTCATGGCCCACTGCAGCCTCGACCCCCCTGGGCTCAAGCAATCCTCCTGCCTTAGCCTCCTGAGTAGCTGGGATTATGGGCATGTGCCACCATACCCAGCTAAGTTTTTAATTTTGTATAGAGATAGGGTCTCACTATGTTACCCAGACTGATCTTGAACTCCTGGGCTCAAGCAGTCCTCCTGCCTTAACCTCCCAAAGTGCTGGGATTACAGGCATGAGCCACCATGCCCAGACTGGTTTTCAACATTTAACTATGATGTGTCTAGGTGTGTCTTCTTTGTCTGTTTTTTTTTGTTTGTTTTTTTTGCTTTTGTTTTTGTTTTTAATTTTTTTGTTTGCTTGGGTTTGCTGAAATTCTTGGATCTGTAGTTTGTCACCTTTTACTGATTTTGGAACATTTTTCACCATTATCTCTTCAAACATTTCTTCTGTTCCATTCTTTTTTTCTTCTTTTGGCACTGCAATTACACGTATGTTAGACTATTTGATATTGTCCTACAGCTGTTGGGAGCTCTGTTCTCTTTGTTTCACTTTGTTTTCCCCTTTGTTTCATTTGGGGATAATTTCTATTGACCTGTCTTCATGTTTATTGATTCTTTCCTCAGCTGTGTCTAGTATCCTGATAAGCCCATCAAAGGAATTCTTCAGTGCTTGCTTCAGCAGCACATATACTAAAATTGGAACAAAACAGAGTATATTAGCATGGCCCCTGTGCAAGGATGACATGCGAATTCATGAAGCATTCTATAATTAAAAAAAAATTCATCTCCAATATTGTTTGATTTCCAGTAGATTTTTTTTTTTTTTAAGAGACAAGGTCTCACTCTGCCACCTAGGCTGGAGTGCAATGGTGCAATCATAGCTCTCTGCAGCCTTGACCTGCTGGGCTCAAGTGATCCTCCTGCGTCAGAACCCTGAGTAGCTGGGACTGCAGGCACACACCACCATGCCTGGCTAATTTTAAAATTTTTGTAGAGATGGGGTCTCACTGTGTTCCTCAGGCTGGTTTTGAACTCCTAGCCTTGAGAGATCCTCCTCCCGTGGCCCCTCAAAGTGTTGGGATTACAGGCATGAGCCACCATGCCTTGCCTCCAGTAGATTATTTACCGTATTCATCATGTAGTCTCTGTCTGATCGTTCTAGCATCTGGGTCATCATTGAGTCTAGTTCTGTAGATTGTTTTAACAATGTCTTTCCCCCCTCCCACCCTTGCTTTTATATGTGTGTTGTAATTTTTTATTGAATGCCATATGCTATGTATAGAAGAACACTAGGGGCTGAGATAGTGTTTACACCTGGGCAGATCTGCATAGTGTAGGGACTGAGCCAGTCTATCAGAAGTTGAGCTAGGTTGTTTCTATCACTACCCTCAATGCACATCAGGCTTTAAATTCCTCCAGTGACGGGCTGCTATCAGCTTGTGCTTAGTGTGGAGCCTAGAGTACCCGTGAGTTTTCCTCAGTAGCCCTGTTCCATCCTCAGCTTTGAGGAGTTCCCACATGCCTGTGCCACAGAGGGGCTCCTTCTCCACCCTCTTTCCCTCCCTCAGTGGTAGGCTATGGCTGTTTGTTACCTGGCTGTACTCATGGTGAGGTCATGGAGGTGGTTCTTGGTTCTCCTGCCCTGTCCTCAGTCTTAGACAGGATGTGTAAAGGCCACCAGCCTGAGGTCTTTTCAGCATTCCCACACCCTTCTTCTCTCCCTGGCAGCCAAACACTGCCTTGCGTCTGTGGTGGATCTTGGGAAGGAGAATTTCTTGCCCTCCCTCCAGGAGTAGTAGAGCTCTGCTTTGCATCGGCTGCAGTATCCTGGACTCAAGAGGGCTCAAGGCAATCAGGGACCAATGGCTTTTGCTTCTGTTCTTCCCCTAGAAGCAGTGAATCTTCACCTGGTTACTTTGATAGGAAGGGGAATTTCAAGGAGGCTGAAATTTGGGTTTGTGAAATGGTGTTTGGTATAGACTTTTCTAGTCAAATCAGGTCTACTCCCTCCCCCAGAGGCAAACAGATTTTGCTTCTGTCTGTTTTCAGTGGCCCTGGGAGTAACAGGATTTGCTTCCCCTCTCCCAGCTGCCGAAGGCTTTTACTTTCTTAGAGAGGAGAGTCCCTTCCTGCAAGTGTGAAGAGAAGGAAGTGGGCAGTATTCCATTCCTGTCCGCCAGTGGCAGCCTGTCACCTCCTGCACACTCATGCCACTCAGGGGGACTGTGGTCTGCTGGCCAACCCGAGTCACTTGTGAAAGCACTGAGTGGAGGTCTGTGCAGAAAAGCTCACAAGTGAGTGCAAAATGCCCGTTGTGTCTGGGACTCCCAGTTGCCCTAAGCTGAGACACTAGCCCACTCTCAGCCTTTAAGAGTTTGTTAAAATTTTAGTGCTTTCTTGTTACTTCTCTGGCGGTCACCTCTTCCTCCTGTGTTCTCTCAAAGATGAAACTGTTTGTGTGGCCTGACTCTCCTTGATGGGGCTTTGATTTTGTAGAATTAAGTTCCCCTGGTTGTCATGAGACCTCAGCTGAGTTTTAAGCTTTTTCTCATTGTTAGGATAGAAGCAGCATTCACTTGTTGTTGTTGTTTTGAGACAGAGCCTCACTCTGTTGCCCAGGCTGGAGTGCAGTAGCGTGATCTCGGCTCACTGCAACCTCCAGCTCCCGGGTTCAAGAAATTCTCCCGTCTCAGCCTCCCTAGTAGCTGGGACTATAGTCACACGCCACCACGCCCAGCTAATTTTTGTATTTTTAGTAGAGACGGGGTTTCACCATATTGATCAGGCTGGTCTTTAACTCTTGACCTCAGGTGATCCACCTGCCTTGGCCTCCCAAAGTGCTGGGATTACAGGCGTGAGCCACCGCGCCCGGACTGCTTGTTGTTTTCTACATCCTAAAGGGAACCAGAACTCCCCCAAAGCCTGCTTTTTAAATCCTAGCCCTGGCCGGGTGCGGTGGCACATGCCTATAATCCCAGCACTTTGGGAGGCCGGGACGGGTGGATCACGAGGTCAGGAGATCGAGACCATCCTGGCTAACACGGTGAAACCCCATCTCTACTAAAAATACAAAAAAAGTTAGCCAGCCTGGTGGTGGACACCTGTAGTCCCAGCTACTCGGAAGGCTGAGACAGGAGAATTGGTGTGAACCCAGGAGAAGGAGGTTGCAGTGAGCCGAGATCACACCACTGCACTCCAGCCTGGGAGACAGACGGAGACTCCTTCTCAAAAAAAAAAAAAAATAGAATCCTAGCCCTACATTCCCTCCCAAGGAGTTTCAGTTCTAAGATCTTGTTTACATTTCACCATGTAAGACAGGAAATCACTGCATCCCCTTTCTAGAACATGCCTATCAAAAACAGGAGTCCAGAGAAAGCAAATGTGCCCAGTACAGAGTGCTCAGAATCTAGCATGTTTCCTCACTGCAGAAAGTCATTTCTTGTGCTGCAGTTTCCCTGCTTGAAAACGTGGTCCCTCATGGGAGCGTTGCATGGGTACTGGGGACACACAAGCAGCTGTAAAGCCCTTCTCTTTTGACAGCTTTACCTCATCGGGTGGCTTCCCTGCAGAGTGGCCTGAGTGGTTCGTGTGCTTTGTCTCATGTGCCATCACACATTCCCGTGATACAGGAGCAGATGGTGCTCTCTCCAGCCTTGAAACTGAGAGAAGCAAGAGGCCCGCGAGTGAAGTGCGGCCCCTGCCATCACTTGGCCCTGCCAGTCCCAAGTCCAGACTCTCTGACTCCAGCCCTGCCCCAACCTAGGCCACACCACTGTGCTGTGTGCTAATTCTAAGGTCTCTGGGGGGAAAAACATCTCCACAGTCATTTTTCGAGAGTCTCAGCGATTCGTTTTGTGACTGTCAGGTTTTACAGATAGAAACAATGTCCTAAATGGGATCCTGCTCGTTAGGAAGGCTTTAGTGCCTTGGTGTTGGAAGCGCGCCTGTGGCAAAGGCCCAGACTGAGGGCGTGGTGTCTTTTTCTCTCCTACAGCTCTCGTGGGCGCCTGCGGTGGGAACTACTCAGCCATGTCTTCTGTGGTCTATTCCCCTGACTTCCCCGACACCTATGCCACGGGGAGGGTCTGCTACTGGACCATCCGGGTTCCGGGGGCCTCCCACATCCACTTCAGCTTCCCCCTATTTGACATCAGGGACTCGGCGGACATGGTGGAGCTTCTGGATGGCTACACCCACCGTGTCCTAGCCCGCTTCCACGGGAGGAGCCGCCCACCTCTGTCCTTCAACGTCTCTCTGGACTTCGTCATCTTGTATTTCTTCTCTGATCGCATCAATCAGGCCCAGGGATTTGCTGTTTTATACCAAGGTAAGACATCTTTGCCTCCTTGGGGGTTCTTCAGGGCCCACGTGCCTTGGGCTTCTCTTCTTCACCCTTGTGACTTGGGCAGTTCTTGCGGGGCAGATTGGGCCTCAGGAACTACTGACTCAACTTGCAGATCACCCCGAGGCTGTGGCTCCTTCCCTACCCCCATTTCATAACTCATTTATGTTTCATGAGACAGAAAAGAGGTGAAAACCTGTCAATTTGGCTATTTTAGTAGGTCTAATGACAGTTTTCATGGGAGGGTTAAAAGAATTTAAAAAAACAGAATAACTAAAAGGAACAGCTGAGACTGGGACAGTTGGAAGGTTATCAAAAGGTCATCTGGTCCGTCCTCCTTCCTCTAAACATCCTAGCTAATTCCAAAAGACTGGCTTGCCATCTTCAAACCCTGCTATGATGGAGCCACACTCTCTGCCTCTGTAATGTGAGCACATGTGTGCCGGGCACATCTCTTTGCCAGGACACAAGAAACACAGAAGGTGTTTGAGACATTGTCTTTGTCCTGGATAGCAAACCTCAAGAAGAGTTCAGGTAGTGTGTGCTCCAGGAGACCCATGGGAAGAGGCCCTCTCTCCAGGTGGGACAGTCTTGAGGAACAGGTAGCATTTGGATCAATAGGAAAAAAGCGAACCTTCCAGGCATAGGGAGCCATAGCTGCCAAGTACAGGGGCAGAGAAGCTGTAAACCATGCCCAGGTGTCTGAGATGAGACTAGCCACATTCTGTGAAGTTGACAGGTTCATCCTTCTGCCTTCTAAAGGGTGACAGCCTGACAGGTTCTGTTTTGGGGCTGGTGGGACCCACCTATGGAAGGAATTGCACCCAGAATTGAATCAGAGAAGAACTCTTCTTCATAACTCGTGCTCTCCTCCCGCACAACTCTTTGTTGTCTCCATAGCCCTGTCCCCAGTTAATTGCTTTTTCTCTTCCAGCCGTCAAGGAAGAACTGCCACAGGAGAGGCCCGCTGTCAACCAGACGGTGGCCGAGGTGATCACGGAGCAGGCCAACCTCAGTGTCAGCGCTGCCCGGTCCTCCAAAGTCCTCTATGTCATCACCACCAGCCCCAGCCACCCACCTCAGACTGTCCCAGGTAGCAATTCCTGGGCGCCACCCATGGGGGCTGGAAGCCACAGAGTTGAAGGTAGCGCTCTTGACAGTTATAAAGACAAAAGCACTTGGGTGTTTCTTATTCAGAGGCAGGTTGGGATACTGGCTCTGTGACCTATAGTCTGTCCTGGCTTTTGAGGGAAATTTTCTTATTAGCTTGGTTCCTTAGTCCTGAGGGAAAAGTGCTCACCTCCAAAAATTAGGCAAGCGTGCCTTTTGTACATTGTGACTAATCAGCTAATCCCGTATTTTCCCACATTGAGATTATCTTTCTAGAGCCCCACATGGAAACTCCCTAAATCCACTGGCATTTGCAAGAACTCCATTCATTCACTCACTGACTCATTCATTCAAAAGATATATAAGTGCTTCAGTGGTGCCAGGCACTGTTCTAGGTACTGGATTATAGAGTGAACCAAACACAACCCCTGCCCTTCTGTGGCGTATAAATGAGAGGAGAAAGATAGAAAGCAAAATAAAAATCAGATAATGATAAGAGCTATGAAGAAAAGTCATGCAGGGCCAGGTGCAGTGGCTCATGCCTGTAACCCCAGCACTTTGGGAGGCCGAGGCAGGAAGATTGCTTGAGGCCAGGAGTTCGAGACTAGCCTGAGCAACATAGGGAGACCCTTTCTCTACAAAAAATAAAAAAAATTATCTGGGTGTGGTGGTGCACGCTTGTGGTCCCAGCTACTTAGGAGGTTGAGGTGGGAGGATCGCTTGAGCCCAGGAGTTCAAGAATGCAGTGAGCTATGATTGCACCATTACACTCCAACCTGGGTGACAGAATGAGACCTTGTCTCAAAAAGAAAAGAGTAGAAAAATTAGCTGGGCGTAGTGGCACATGCCTATAGTCTCAGCTACTCGGGAGGCTGAGGCAGGAGGATTGCTTGAGCCCAGGAGCTTGAGGATGCAGTGAGCCAAGGAAGTGATGCCTTTATGAGCTGGTAGAACTGGAAAGTATCCTCAGTGGTGACCTAGCCTGGAGGCTTTCAAATTGCCCTGGGCCCCTGCAGGACCCACCATAGAAGGTCAGGGAGAAGGGCCTGTCCAGCACTTCCTGTGCGTCATTAGGCTGTGGTTCTCATAGGTAGCATCTCATAGGTCACATATCTCATTCCTCGGATGAGGAAACTGAGGCCCAAAGAGTTTACATAACTCCATCTGTGGTTACACAGTGGTCCCAGTGGCAGAGACAAAATGCATGTCATCCCTTTAGATTCTGAGTCCAATAGACTTTGGATCATCCTGTCTGCCTCTCCCTGAGAGTGACTTGTAGAACAAAGGGAAATATTCAGAACACCTGGGGCCCCATGCTTAGCCTGGGTCAGCTGCTCCTGAGGCTAGGTTTGCTAGCTGCCCTCCCACACCGGCCTGCAGGGAGCCCCTCAGCCAGACTTACTCACTTGGGTATTCCAGCCGACCTCCTTTCGAAAACCAACCATAAACAAGTCTGGTAAGCTCTGTCTTTTGCACTTGCAGGATGGACAGTCTATGGTCTGGCAACTCTCCTCATCCTCACAGTCACAGCCATTGTAGCAAAGATACTTCTGCACGTCACATTCAAGTGAGTACAAGAGGGAGCTGCCCAATTCCAGGAAAGGGAAGGCTCAGAGTTCATTTTCTATGATGCTTCATTTGTCTGGTTACAACTGTAGAATAAGCACATGATTCCAAAGCCCTCAGTCCTAGGGAACGGAAGGCAGCAGACATTCCCCCTTCTTTGTAGAGTGAAATGTACAACTGGACAAATCTCATTAAGGTTTCAGGGATTTTGTTTGCTCTGTGTCCAAGGCATACAATTTCAAGGAGGATTGCAACATTCCTGGCTTAAAAAGCAAATGTGCTAGTCCCTTACGGAGATCTTTATGCAAGACTGAAGATAGCTAGGACGATGCCGTGCATACTTCCTGATGCCTTCTAGAAATTGAGAAACATCCTTAGGAAGAGAATTCTCACATTTTATTAACTATTGCTCAGTAGTTATTTTAAAACAGTTATTGAAAAAACTTATGGAAGCTTTATCATTCAATTCTGACCAATTTGGGTTAAAATATATTTCCTTCCCTTATTTTGCTATTCAAGTCTAACAGTTCCACCTTCCAGGAAAGGGGCAATTGTTCATGCTACTAATGTTTGTGTACTTAGAGGGGAGCTCGTTCTAATTTTTCCTAGACCCCTACTCTGTCTTTCCGGTGCTTTCTACTCCAGGTTCTTCTCATTTCACAGCCTCCCTGAAAATGTATGTATGTCCACTAAAAGCTGTCTTTTTCCTGACCGTCTCACTTGCCCTCTGCTACAGACTTCTTATACATTAAATGCGAGCTCTTCCATTGCGTTGTGAATGCTGCCTTTGGCCACATTGGAACCCCTTTACATAGACACCTCCACCCTACACTTGAAATTTTTAGTGGAAATAATGTCCTCGTGTGTGTGTGTGTGTGTGTGTGTCTGCATGTGCATGTGTGTGTGTGTGTGTCTGTGTCTGTGTGTGTGTGTCTGTGTGTGTGTGTATGTGTGTTTTAAAGTCACAATTCACATGCTCTGGGGAAGCCTCTCAGGCTCAGTCCTGACCACATCCCCTGTGGCAGCAAGAGAGCCCAATGCTTCCTATAGCGTCCAGCATCTGATAGCATGGCTGAGGCCCTAAAGTGCATGCCTAACTCTCCTCTGACATCGGCTGCAGCTTCCCTGCCAGGCAGCCGTGGGGGCTGAACAGAGTCCGGGCCAGCACCGGAGGCTAGACGGGTCTCTGCTTGAAGCAGAGAAGTTTTGTGTTTATCTTGTTTTAGCTAGGTGGGCTTCCAGGTAAATGGCATTTGAAGACAGTTCTTTTATTTAAAATAAAAGAATTTGAAAATCCATAATCTCTCAGGCTGGGCTTTTCCAGATTTGAAGAATTCTGCTAGTTAGAAAGTTCTTTGTTATTCTGATGCAGACGCTGCCCTGCTGCACTTGGCCTCAGCCCCTGCTGCCCACAGGCCACATTTCAGTTGCACGCTAGTCCTTCAGATCTTTAGAGGTGGCTGTGAGGTCCTTCCCAAGACCTTGCCCCACCCCATTTCATAGATACAGTATCTCGTGAGATGGTAGGTTGTTTGCGTTGTTCTAATCTATTGGAAAAAATATTTATCTGCTTGACAGATCCCATCGTGTTCCTGCTTCAGGGGACCTTAGGGATTGTCATCAACCAGGGACTTCGGGGGAAATCTGGAGCATTTTTTACAAGCCTTCCACTTCAATTTCCATCTTTAAGAAGAAACTCAAGGGTCAGAGTCAACAAGATGACCGCAATCCCCTTGTGAGTGACTAAAAACCCCACTGTGCCTAGGACTTGAGGTCCCTCTTTGAGCTCAAGGCTGCCGTGGTCAACCTCTCCTGTGGTTCTTCTCTGACAGACTCTTCCCCTCCTCTCCCTCTGCCTCGGCCTCTTCGGGGAAACCCTCCTCCTACAGACTAGGAAGAGGCACCCTGCTGCCAGGGCAGGCAGAGCCTGGATTCCTCCTGCTTCATCGATTGCACTTAGGAGAGAGACTCAAAGCCCTGGGGCCCGGCCCTCTCTGCATCTCTCTCTGATCTAGCTAGCAGTGGGGGTGTCAGGACAGTGAGGCTGAGATGACAGAGGTGGTCATGGCTGGCACAGGGCTCAGGTACATTCTAGATGGCTGTCAGGTGGTGGGTAGCTTTAGTTACATTGAATTTTTCTTGCTTCTCTATTTTTGTCCACACACAAATCAGTTTCTCCTGATCTTTATGTCTTGGAACAGGGCCAGACAGGGAGAACTCTCAGGTACTCTTGGGAGTTGGTCCCATACAAGTGCGGACTCCTGGACATTAGCGAGGTGTAAAGAGGGCAGTGTCTGTGCTGCCCCGGCAGCTTTGCTCTCCAGATGCTGGACTAGGGTGGGCCTCCTTCAGCCTGGGAGGGTCTGAGAATAAGATCTAGTGACCCCCATTTATATCAAACCTGATACCTTACACATGGGCTTCTTTCTAGATTCTTCTTTCCATAGCTCATGGAGCTGCAGGGAAAGCTTTAAGAGCTTTGGTCATATAAAACATCCATTCAGCTGGGCGCGATGGCTCATGCCTGTAATCCCAGCACTGTGGGAGGCTGAGGCGGGCAGATCACCTGAGGTCAGGAGTTCGAGACCAGCCTGGCCAACATGGTGAAACCCCGTCTCTACTAAAAATATAAAAATTAGTCAGGCGTGGTGGCAGGCGCCTGTAATCCCAGCTACTCAGAAGGCTGAGACAGAAGAACAGCTTGAACCCAGGAGGCTGAGATTGCAGTGAGCCGAGATCGCACCACTGCACTCCAGCCTGGGTGACAAGAGTGAGACTCTGTCTCAAAAAAACAAAACACAAATAAACAAAAAAAATCCATTCATTTACTCATGCAATAAATTCTCCTGCAAGCTTTTATGGGCACTCAGTAAGTACTCAGGATTGGCTTTATCAGCCTTGCCACTGAGCAGCTCATGGTCCTATGGAACCTGAGCCAGGCCTCAGTCTCTCCATGATTGGCTCAGCTAACTCTCAGTTCAGAGTGGAGAGTATCAATCTTGTGTTTTTGCCCTTAGGCAGCACTATATGAGACATGGGGCCTGTGGTCCTTCCTTCTGGTGTCCCCCGTGTTAAAAGATAAAAAACACCCCAAGGGCCGGGCGCGGTGGCTCATGCCTGTAATCCCAGCACTTTGGGAGGCTGAGGCGGGTGGATCACGAGGTCAGGTGATCGAAACCATCCTGGCTAAGATGGTGAAACCCCGTCTCTACTAAAAATACAAAAAATTAGCTGGGTGTGGTGGTGGGCGCCTGTAGTCCCAGCTGCTCGGGAGGCTGAGGCAGGAGAATGGCGTGAACCCGGGAGGCGGAGCTTGCAGTGAGCAGAGATCACGCCACTGCACTCCAGCCTGGGTGACAGTGCAAGACTCTGTCTCAAAAAAAAAAAAAACACTCCAAGGGCCATCCGTGCTCTCTGCCCCTCCTGTGGGGACCAAGTGGGGTTAGGAATGGCTCAGTGGGGAAGGAGAGCACTCTTGTCCCCAGTCCCTTGCCACCCTGTCCCTTAGATAGGGAGGTGGGCTGCAGAGATTGGTGCCAGAAGAGGGTGGGTTTGGGAATTGGAGCTCCTCCAAGGAGCTCCTCCTAAGATTGAGTGCTGCAGCTGTAGTGGCTGCTGGTTGGGAGAGTAAGTGCCATCACTAATTTAAAAGTCCTTGCCATCTGGAATCAGGCTTTGTCAACAGCAGCTGAGAAAAGCAGCCTGTGCCTCTGCTGGCCAGGCCTAGGCCCTCGTCAGAGCGTGCCTCTCCACAAGGCACTTGGGCCTGGGTGATTGTTGCGCCTCTGGCTTTGGCGTTTCCTCTTTGCAGCACTTTGCCTACCTCCCCCAAGCCCTGAGCCACTGCCTGCTGGGGCTCCTACTGAGGTTCTGGAAACACCTCTGCACCTGCCGCCCCTGGGAGGAAAGAGGGCCACACAGGAAGTGTCTGCAGGGAGAGGTGGCACTCGGCAGCCTGAGTTCAGGAGAGGTGCTTGGAGCTTCAGGCAGAGGGGCCTTCAGAGGAGGGAAACGGAGCAATGTGTCACAGGCAGGCAGGGGCAGGACTGCCACCCCAGGCCCCGTGGGAGGCCTGCTGAGGGCACAGAGCTGCTCGGTGCAGCCTTCATGCTTTGATCTGGAAAGAGCAGCTGTCCGCAGGCCTCTGTCTCCAAGAGGCCTGTCACACAGGAGGACCGCTGGAAACATACCAACACGTGCAGTCTCCCCTCCAAGCTATTCATGCTGTTTGTGGAATCTCTCTCAAACATAAGTGTCAGGTGTGTGTCGTCCCAACGGGTCCTGTGCTGTGAATAGATCCATGTGCAGCACAAAGGGAATGTGGCACGTGGCCCCAGGAAGAGTTCACCCGGCCAGGGGGCAGTTGTTCAGTTGCCTGGGGCTGACACTGACCACTGGCCTCTGGGGTGTCCTGCAGCCCAAATGCCCACCTTGCCCTCCTCACATCTCAGTCAGGGGAGGCCATGCCCAAGCCAATGTGCTGTCACAGCCTGCAGCGGGGGCAGCACTTCCTCGGAGGGCCTGGGAGGTGCTGGGGATGCCCCAGCGCTTCTCTTCCTGCCTCGCCCTGGCATGGCCCAGCGCCTCTAGGATCAACTTACGATCCGTGGAGCAGCCCCGGGAAACCCAAATCTGGCTCAGGACAGCGTACGGGCAGGAGGGCTGTAAATCATCCCAGGCTAAGCCTCCGTGGGCACTGGCTCCTGCCGCAGCCTGGCTATGGACTCAGTTAGAACCAGGTAGAAAGTCAGCGACACCCCACAGAAGGCCACTGCGGCTAGGTAAACACCTGAGAAAGAAACTGCTCCAGAAGAGATGACGTGGGCTTCCAGGAGCATGGAGGAGGTGGCACTTGAACTTTTAGGAAACTCCTTAGATGAGATAAAGTGGGGGTTGGAGGTGGCGAAAAGAGGGTAACCCTGGGAAAGTCAGTCAGAACCCATGGCAGAAGACTGCAGGAGAGGCAGGGGAGGGGCTTCGGGGACCACTGTGGACAGAGCTCTGAAAGCACCCTGGCCAAAGCCCCTCCTGAGGTGACAGAGCGTGGGAGGAGGCTGCACTGGGCCTGCGTGCCATCCTCACCCCTGTTCCCCGCTGGCGCCAGGCCCTGCCTTCTTGGTACCTGTGCCAACAGGAGAGCCCTCACCAGCCGATCTTGTCACTCTCCGTGGTGACAGTGTCTTGGCCAGCTGTGGCCCCTAGTTTCTAGCAGCGTTTCTCAGTGTCCTTGGCCCTTCTGAGAAGGCAGGCGGGAGGCACACGGTGCCCTGTTCTTCCCCGTTTGTCCAGTTGCTTGCAAAGCAGAGAATGAGTAGGAGTGAACCCGAGTGACTTCACCCGCCCTGTCCCCCACGTCAGGACAGGCTTGAGGCCTCTCTGGGCGTGAGCGAGGAAACCAGGCTGCTCTAACTTCTGAAGAGTGGGCTCTGGCTCAAGACTCCAATCGGCCAGAAGCCCACAGAGATCAAAGCACTAGCAAGTTCAGCTGTCCTGGCCCTCGGGTAGAACCCACGGGCGTGCCTGGGTGCGGCTCCACCCACATGCCCCACTGTCAGCCCAGGCAGGAGCCTTCCTGGCCGGGCTCAGGATCTGCCTGCAGCCCAGCCAGGCCATCACCCAGCCCCGATGCATCCTGGCACTGCACGCTTACTCTTCACAAGCACTTATACGCGGATGGCCTCCGAGACCCTGCCTCCCTGGTCTGCTGAGGTCAGGCCAGGTCTCCCACGGAGCCGGGCAGCTCCACACCCCACCACCTGGCACCGTTAGGTTTCAGATCTCCCGTGTGGTGTTTGATGTCGGCTTTTGTTCCTACCTTGGGAGTTTGGATTGTTTCCTCTGGTGTCTTTGTTTACCTTCCTCACTGTTCTACCTCCTGGCCAGGTCTCAGCTTAGCTTCCCTGGTGTGGGGTGTTTTTCAAGCCTTCCAGCCACAGCTGTCTCCCCTCAGGCTGGACGGCTCCGGGGTGACAGGGCTTCACCCTCTGCCTGCAGACCCCTGGTGGGCACATCTCACAGGCTTCCGTCTTGCTGAGTTGGGTACGGAGGCAGAAGTGGGGTGTGGAGGAAAGTCAGAGGGAAATCTGCTTCAGAAAGGAAGGGTCTTTAGACACAAAGACTGGAGGCCCTTCCCCGCCCGCACGGGAGCTGCCATCGTGGGTCTCATGCACGTCAAGACCTTCCCACATCCAAACTCAGCTTCCAGCAGGGATTTTGACTTTGGATGACAAGGCTTTATTTGTAAATATGCTCTTAATATGCAACTTTGAGAATAAAATAGAAACATCATGTATTTTAAAATATAAGATGAAGTGTGACGCACTGTATACAATTTAATATATATTTTTAGGGTTTTGTTATTTAAGAAAATGGAATGTAATGGTACTTTTACAAACGAGAAAAAATGTTATTTTTACTTTCTGGAAAAAATAAATATTCTCATTGTTGTAGAAAGAGTGATGGGCCCTATGCTGTCATTTCTATGGGAGTTCCCCAGAGAGCGTGGGACAAGCGGAGGGTGTCTGTGGTGGGATTCCTGCCTCCCCTTGGGTGCCAGTCCTCGCCTTTTGCTTGCTGTTTCCTAGTAGTGCCTCCAAATTTCTTCCAGTCTTGTGACAGCTTCGACCCACAGCCGACCTTCAGCTGGTACGATCTGAAAGATTAGGTACTCCAAAACCATTGCATTGCAGCCCACATCCAAGGAGGGTCAGGGCAGAGCACAAGGCTCTGCAGCAGAGAGATCTGGGCTCGAGCCGGCCTAGATCCAGTCCCTCGACTACTCAGCCTCAGCTTCCCCATCTGAAAAGGGTAATGGAATCTATTCCTCAGGAGGCTATGGAGGCTATGTTTTGACAAAATGCCTCTAAAGTGCTTATGTAATTATTATCCCAGGTGGAACTGACCTTGCCTCTCAGAGCAACCAGTTCTTCCTCTCCACCCCCTTCTTGCCCCACACTTTCCTTCTTAGGAAGGAAAGAAGCTAATAGAAGCTCCACGTATGAGCTGCCCACTCTGCGCCAGGCACTCTGCTGGCAGACACTGTGCATATCCTACAACTCTTCGCCATGGGTACCACTTTCCCTCTTTGGCAGATGAGACAGCTCAGGCATGGAGAGGCTGTGGGGGACAGTAGCTGGGAGCACAGCCCTGGAGTCAGCCCTCCAGGATTCAGTTTCCTCCATTCATTCTCTGTGAGGCCAGTGAGGGTAAAACAGGGAGCCTTTGAAGGGTTTCAGCGGAGGAGTGACATCAGATTCCCAGTTTAGAAAGCATTCCTCCTTGCATCTGGGAAAACAGATCTGAGCGGGGTAAGACCGAGGGCAAGGAAACCAGTCGGGAGACTCTACAGGCCCAGCCAGGAGATGCTGAGGGCATGCCTGGGCCCCCAAGCCAGTGCTGTGGAGAGAGATGCTGACTGCACTCCCAGGGCAGGGGCACGTGCATGGGGCTGGGTAGCTCAGGCTCACATCCCAGTTCCACTGTTCACCATGTGACCTGGGGTGAGTAACACGGCCCTGTGTGCCTGTTTTCTCACCTGTCAAATGGAGACAGTTATAGTACCTGCCTTTGTGAGGCATTGGGCTGTATGAATTATTATTACCTGCAGTATGTTTTCCATCAAAGGTAGATGTTCCTTTCATTCTAGAATAGAGGTGGGGGTTAAGAATGAGGAGGTGTCTGGGATGGTGCTCCGGTACCTGACATGGGTGCCTGAGCGGAGAGAGGGGCCACTCTTCGACATAAGGAATGTAAAAGGAGCCAGGTGTGAGAGGAAACCTGATGAGTTCTTTTGGGCTAAGTCCACTGCAGTCGCTGTGGGACACTGAGGCAGAGCTGTCCGGCAGGCATTGGACAGACAGCCTGAGCCCCCCACAAGGAGCACAGGGCTCTGCACAACCCAAGGAAACATGGGCAAAGGTGGCATCCTCAGGGTGAGTGTTGGGGCCACCCCTCAGAAGGCTATGGGGGACAGCGTCCTGGGATGCACTGAGGCAGTGAGGGAGTGCCTGGCAGGACCAAGGTGGGCAGGAGTAGGACAGGAGACAAGGACTCCCCTGGAAGCCAAAGAACCTATTGGCAAAATTGTTTTTTTTGTTTTTTTTTTTTGGAGACGGAGTTTTGCTCATCACCCAGGATGGAGTATGGTGGTGCAATCTCTGCTCACTGCAACCTCCGCCTCCCGGGTTCAAGCGATTCTCCTGCCTCAGCCTCCCGGAGTAGCTGGAATTACAGGCGCCCGCCACCACGCCCAGCTAATTTTTGTATTTTTAGTAGAGATGGGGTTTCACCATGTTGGCCAGGCTGGTCTCAAACTCCTAACCTCAGGTGATCCGCCCGCCTCGGCCTCCCAAAGTGCTGGGATTACAGGTGTGAGCCACCGCGCCTGGTGAGCAAAGCTTCTAACCTGACTGGCACACACAGACTGCTCGTGCTTTGAGTCCCAGTTCCAGATTCTCAGGAGACAGCTTGGCCAGGTGAAATCTCCCTCATCCAGCCAGTTTTTGCTAGGATAGTGTTCTCTGAGAAAAGAGGGCACAGGCCAGTCCAGCTAAAGAATATTACCACCGCAGACGTGGCTCTCGGTGGGATGCATTTGACCACTTGCCTGGGAATCCCTATGTGCTCTGTTAAACTTCAGGTTCCCGGGCCCCACCCCAGACCTACCACATCAGAATCCCTGGAAGCATTGCCTCGACATGGAGTCCGTGCCCTTCACTTCACCACTGTCCCCTCCCTGGCTAACTTCTGCCTCCACCCTGCAGCCAGCCCCCATGCTGCCGCAGATGTTGCAACATAATGGCACCTTTTTTTTTTTTGAGACGGAGTCTCGCTCTGTCTCCAGGCTGGAGTGCAGTGGCGCTATTTCAGCTCACTGCAACCTCCGCCTCCTGGGTTCAAGCGATTCTCCTGCCTCAGCCTCCCGAGTAGCTGGGACTACAGGCACGTGCCACCATGCCCAGCTAATTTTTGTGTTTTTAGTAGAGACGGGGTTTCACCATGTTGGCCAGGATGGTCTCGATCTCTTGACCTGATGATCCGCCCACCTTGCCCTCCCAAAGTGCTGGTATTACAGGCGTGAGCCACCGCGTCCGACCCATGATGGCCCCTTTAAAGGTCAGCTTCACTTGACTGTTTATCTTCACTGGGCTTTCCTTCTCTCTCCTAGAGGCTCTTTCCTTCCATGAAGGAAAATATTTTTAATGGCAGGAAATGGCTGGTGGAAAACAAACAGGGCGGCCTTGCTGGTGAATTTCTTAGGGACAAATTACGCTGCAATAGAAAAATAAAATAAATGCAGCCAGAATGTGCAACTGTCCCACCTGAAGAACCCCTTTGGGATTATGGGACAATGAGGCCAGGATGAGACCCTCAAACCCATCTGAGTGGACTCTGGGGACCACTGACCTTGCCCTGTGTTCTCCTGAACCTGACAGATGCAGATATTGGAGAATCCACCACCCGGGAGCCAGCACCAGGGCAGCACCAGCCCCATCCTTTGTCAGGCAGTCAAAGGCTCTTCTTCCTGTGAAGGGGAACGGGGCTGGACAAGGGTGACCTTGTCTCCAGGCTTGGAAGTCACATGACCATCTTCTTTCCCCTCTGGGCCATGCGTGCCTGAAACTGCAGACAGTCTCTAGAACTCAGAGAACTGGGAAGCTTTTGTTCCTCTGTGGCGAGGTCGGGTCCCGATGGGGGATTGTTTTCGCTCAGCTCAAAGGGACACTTTAGAGATAGAATACTTCAACCTTAAGAAGCAGCAACATTTGCTTGTAGCTGGAAGTCTTCATTTCTGGTCTCCAGCTGTTGTCTGGAGCCACCAGGCCTCCCCTGAATGGGCCTATGCCCAGCAACTGGTGGGGGGGGGGGCAGTGCCTGCCGGACTGAACATGAACCAGTCTGTGCAGGACGCCCATCTCCAGGACAGCTTGGCTGCAAGGACACCCTGTCCCCTCCCGGTGGTGGTTGCTGGGCTTTGGAATAAACCCGTTAGCTCTGGGTGACTGAGCGGGGAAAAGGGGCTCCACAAGAAGCGTTTTAGGGGGAAAGTAGACCCAAGCTTGAGCTCCAGAGTAACCCCTCCGGGAGAAACACCAAACACTCGGAAACAGCCAGGGCTTTCGCAACAGTGAAGCTGCAGATCCCATTTATTTCCGTCTTAGTAGCATTGTCTCTGTTCAAATGAGGTCACTGAACTTTTAAAAACTTCACTGAGGGTCGTGCTTCTTTGCATATTGATCATGTGAATGTTTAGTGGACTTGCCTTAGTTGCTGGTACCTAAGATAGAGATTAAGGGCCCTCAAGGGGTATTCAGACCTCAAATTCAGCCAAACACAGGCGCAGCTTTTCCTGGGTCTGAGTGAGCTGAGGAAAGCACTTTTGAATGTGCAAGGACAATAAGATTAATAACCACTACCATCTCTGCAGTACGTACTGTGTACCAGACGCTGTGCCAAGTGACCAACAGACATTACCGAATTCATCTTTGCCGCAACCCAACAAGGGAACTGAGGGTCAGAGAAGGGGTCCAGCCAGGGGCCGCCAAGGTTCGGACTCAGCCTGGGACCACTGGCTCCAAAGCTGGGGGTCCTTACTCCTGTTGAGCTGCAGGCCCCTCCAACACAGGCAGTGGGTGGGCCCCCAAATAGCTCATCTTCAAGGATATGGCCTCCGGAAAGCCCAGGGAAAGTGTGGATCGATTTTCCTGGGTCAAGGAAGAATCAAACCTACACTTCTTTACCTATTTGATGACACAAACCCCTTTGAGAACCAGGGGTTGGATGGAGCCTCTCCCTGCAAAAAAGACCCCATCTGCCAAACTGCAGGGGTCCAGAGACCCCCTGCCCCCTGAAACCCTTCCATGGACCTCAGGTTTAGAATCTCTCCATTAAGCCATGAGCATGATTATTTGAAAGTTAAAATGAGGCCAGAAGGGATAATAGTAACAGTCATAATAATACGAATAACAGGATACATTTTACTGATCACCTGTTGTCAGGCATTTATGCCAGGGGTCGGCAAACATTTTCTGTAAAAGGCTAAATACTAAACATTTTAGACTTTGCAGGCTATACAGTCTCAGATCCATTGACCAGAACCACAGGCCAGCCACTGGGACCCTGGATGACTCCAACAAGCCCTGGAGCCATCTACGCAACTCCATGAGGAGTCGGGGGATGGGGGCCACCAAGCTCCCCTTGTTATTAGCCACAGACAATATGTAAACAAATGGTCACGCTTGTGTTCCCATAAAACTTCACGGACACCAAAACCTGAAGTTTATATAATGTTCATGTGTCACGAAATGCTACAAAATGCTATTCTTTTGATTTTTTCCCCCCAAAATTAAAAAGTGTAAAAACCGGCCAGGCATGATGTCTCATGCCTGTAATCTCAGCACTTTGGGAGGCTGAGGTGGGTGGATCACTTGAGGTCAGGAGTTTGAGACTAGCCTGGCCAACATGGTGAAACCCTGTCTCTACTAAAAATATAAAAATTAGCCAGGTGTGGTAGCACATGCCTGTAATCCCAGCTACTCAGGAGTCTGAGGCAGGAGAATTGCTTGAACCGGGGAGGTGGAGGTTGCCGTGAGCCGAGATTGTGCCATTGCACTCCAGCCTGGGAGACAGAGCAAGACTCTGTCTTAAAAAAAAAAAAAAAAAGCACAGGAGTCAGGATTTGAGCCCACTCCCAAGCCTGTTTGCTTTCCTAAGAGACAAGATGGGTACATTTAAATTGTGGAGGAAGAAAAGGTGACAGTGAAGCAGGAAGGAAGACCCAGGAGCAAGGGCAGTCCCCTGGGCCCTGGGAATATCAGGCAGAGAGGCTCCATCCTCCTGCAGTCTTTGCTGAATGGTCTGCACTGCAGGGGAGGGCGGCTGGTTTCCTGAGCCATCCCTCTAACCCCCTACAAGCGGCTCCAAGGACAGAGTCTCCAGATCCAGGACAGCTGGTGGCCTTCACATTGTTTTGCGTCTCCCAGGTTCTCTTAATTATAACCAATTTGCCACCCTCAGCAATTCCTTGTTCCCCTCTGCTAATACCCATGAGTTGGAACCATCAGCCGAACTCCCAGCCAAACAGGCTAAAATCACTTCCCTTTCCCATGTAGGGAGTCCTCCAGTCTCTTAGAAACTCGCCTTTCTTCTCAGTCCTGTGAGACGGGCGAGGCCTGCCCTTCTGTGCGCTGACTTACTGGGCTGGGATCTGCCCTAGCGGGAGACAGAATCTGCTCAACTTTCTCCAGCTCCTCCCCGCCCCTTGCACCCCTCCACTCTCCCCCCAACCCCTCCTGCTGACTCTTGGGGCTCTGGCACACTGCCTGCCAAGCACAACCTTTCCTTTTTTTCCTCTCTCTAAAGACAGGGTCTCACTCTGTCGCCCAGGCTGGAGAGCAGTGGCACCGTCACAGGGTAAACTCCAAAACTGGGATTCAGCCTGGGGGTGCCCCATGGGTTCCTGGCTTGAAGCAGGAAGGAACTCAAGAGTGAGCTGACAGTAAAGTGAAAGCAAGTCTATTAAGAAAGTAAAGGAATAAAGGAGGGCTACTCCATAGGGAGAGCAGCGGCATGGGCTGCTTGACTGAGTAGACTTACGGTTATTTCTTGATGATATACTAAACAAGGGATGGATTATTCATGAGTTTTCTGGGAAAGGGGTGGGGAGTTCCCGGAACTGAGGGTTCCTTCCCTTTTTAGACCATATAGGGTAACTTCCAGATATTGCCATGGCATTCATAAACTGTCATGGCCCTGGTGGGAGTGTCTTTTCACATGCTAATGAATTATAATTAGCATATAATGACCAGTGAGGACAACCAGCCATGTTGGTTTTGGCGGGTTTTGTCCGGCTTCTTCACTGCATCTCATTTTATCAGCGGGGTCTTTGTGACCTGTATCTTGTGAAGCCAGTCCTGCCGACCTCCTATCTCATCCTGTGACTAAGAATGCCCAGCCTCCTTAGAATGCAGCCCAGCTGGTCTCAGCCTCATTTTATTCAGCCCCTATTCAAGATGGAGTCGCTCTGTTTCCATTGCCTCTGACAGCACAATCATAGCTCATTGCAGCCTCACTCTCCTGGGTTTGAACAATCCTTCCATCTCAGCTTCCTGAGTAGCTGGGACCACAGGCGTGGGCTGCTACGTCCAGCTGATTTTTTCTTTTTTTTTTAATTATTGTAGAGACAGCGTCTCACTATGTTGCCCAGGTTAGTCTTGAACTCCTGGGCTCAAGTGATCCTCTCGTCTTGGCCTCCCGAAGTGCTGAGATTACAGGCACCAGCCACCATGCCTGGCTCCTTTATAACCTCCATTTATTCATCTAGAAAATAGGTACAGGCTGGGCATGGTGGCTCATGCCTATAATCCCAGCACTTTGGGAGGCCGAGGCGGGCGGATCACCTGAGGTCAGGAATTTGAGACCAGCCTGGCCAACATGTTGAAACCCCGTCTCTACTAAAGATACAAAAAAATCAGCCTGGCGTGCTACTCCCTAGCTACTCCGGGAGGCTGAGGCAGGAGAATCGCTTGAACCTGGGAGGCGGAGGTTGCAGTGAGCCGAGATCTAGTCACTGCACTCCAGCCTGGGTAACGGCAAGACTTCCTCTCAAAAAAAAAAAAAAGAAAGAAAAGAGATACAGCAGTAGTTTCTCATAGGGTTGTTGTGAAGATTAAATGAAATAAGAAAGGTACAATATTTAGCTCAGTGACTGGCCTGTGAGTCCTCAATACATTTTAACAATTTTTATCAGTAAACTCAGGGGACCACCAGGAGCAGGGGGCACCTCAGATTTGCCCTGCCTTTCAGATTGAGAACCCTATTTATCAAACTCCAAGTTTACAATGCACAAAGTAGGGGCAGTTCCCTCCTTAGAGAATAATTCCTGACTTGGTTCCTTCAAGTAGCTGGTTTCCCCCAGGACCTTCAATATGTGACCCCATTTAATAAAGGTATCTATTGACCTTTACTTTCTTAGGGACCTAGCTGTTGGGTGAAAATACCCTTTTCTGCCGACTCCCTGCCTGCAGTGGATTTCCTTATCTGTTGCTTCAGGTAAGGGAACAAATGCAGAATTTGAATGTCCTCATAGTTCCCCCAATGCTGCAGGTGGACAAATAGGCTAAGGCCCCTGGCCCAGCTGGCAGAGGTAAGGAGCTGCCCGCCCGCCCAGCTCCCGCTGCGGCAGAGCCCCCAGCCGCCGCCTCCTGCCGCCCTCGCCTTTCCTGCAGGAGCCGTCCCAGCGCAGGCTTGCTCACCAGCGCCGCCCCGTGGTAAGACTGCAGATCTGCGGAAGAAGGCCAGCCCTGAACCGCAACTGCTCTCAAGCCCTTCCATTACAGTTACACGGATTTTTTGCCCAGCGCGGTGATGCGTGCCTGTAATCCCAGCTACTCTGGAGGCTGAGAGGAAGGATGCCTTGAGCCCAGGAGTTCAGAATCAGCCTGGGCAAAATTGCGAGAGAAAAGAAAAAAGAAAAAAATAATGTCACAGGTGTCCTGACTCTAAACCTGGACATTAGCCCAGGTCTCACTCTCACCAAGCCCTCTAAAGAACTCATTCTATCAGATAAGTGATCAGATGAATTATTCTACCTCCATACTATGAAATCCTATGTCACCATTGAAATTAATGTGGTGTATAATCTCCAAAGGCAATGAAAAAAAAAGAACAAATTAATGTAGTGCTTCTACACACACTGTATCAGAATATCTTACGTGAAAAAAGTCAAAGAACAAAGCATAAGTGTAATTTTTTTTTTTTGGCCAAATTTTAAAAAGAGGGAGGGAAATATATGTATGTGTATACAAAGGCACCAGCAAAGTCCTGCAAGTTCTGTGCCTAACTCTTATTGTGGTCACCTTTGGAAAAGGAAAGGAAGAAGACAGGAGGAGGCCAGGGGCAGTTGCTTACGCCTGTAATCCCAGCACTTTGGGAGGCCAAGGTAAGTGGATCTCTTGAGCCCAGGAGTTCGAGACCAGCCTGGGCAACATGGCAAAACCCGGTGTCTACAAAAAATATAAAAATTAGCCAAGCATGGTGGTGTGTGCCTGTAGTCCTAGCTACTCAGGAGGCTGAAGTGGGAGAATCACTTGAGCCTGGGAGGTCTAGGCTGCAGTGAGCCGTGATCACGCCATTGCACTCCAGCCTGGGCAACAGAGTGAAACCCTGTCTCCAAAAAGGAAAAGAGAAGGTGAGGACACTTACATTTTCACATTTTATTTGATATATTTATATGTGGCTTGAATCTCTTACATTCATGCATTACATGTGCAAGTTTGAAAATAAAGTGCAGGTGGATTATTTTAAAATTTGGAGGCTGGGCCCGGTGGCTCACACCTGTAATTCCAGCACTTTGAGAGGCCAAGGCAGGAGGATCACCTGAGGTCAGAGGTTTGAGATCAGCCTGGTCAACATGGCGAAACCCCGTCTCTACTAAAAATACAAAAATTAGCTGGGTGTGGTGGCGCGTGCCTGTAATCCCAGCTACTCAGGAGGCTGAGGCAGGAGAATCACTTGAACCCAGGAAGCAGAGGTTGCAGTGAACTGAGACGGTGCCACTGCATTCCAGCCTGGGCAACAAGAGTGAAACTCCATCTCAAAAAAAAAAAAAAATTTGGAAAGCACACAAAACAAAAAGAACAACATAAGTCTCTCTCACTGTCACACTGCTCAGTGGAAGCACTGTTAAAAGGCTGGTGCATGTGTTTCCAGCACGCACTAGGAGCACTGAGGAACACTGCTTCCCCTGCTTGCCCCCAGGAAGGGGGCCTGGCCAATGCCCTGGACTAGACATCTATTCTGCTGTCCAGCATCACCCATGCCACTGCCCTGCCCCACCCTGAGCCACTCCTGGAGACACCTCCCAGTGCAGGGAGTCTCCCAGAAGCTTTGGGCCAGCAGAATGCTCAGCTCCCAAGCCAAAATGTCCTTCTCTTTGTTAACTACAAAATAAACATCTCCAGGCCCCCTGGGCCACTTGCAGTACAGATGTTTATGCCTTTGGAAAGAGACAAAAAGAGAAAGACTCTTGCAATTTCTCCCTGAGACAATGGGTGCCAAGTTGGTAATTAACCCTCAGCAACCAGGGCGTCTGATCTTCCACCAGCCAGTCTGCAGCAGGTTGTGGGAGTGATTGATTGGGCCTGTGCTAGAACTTGGTGATTGGTGGGCCTTCCAGGCCTTGGAATGCTCTCCGCACAGGAATGCTCTCCGCACAGGACGCTGGCTGCCTCTTCAAAACTCTAAATGAGGTACTAGGAACCCACCCCTAAGAAGGCCCCCACACTGCTGCATCCCATTCCAGATGAAGGGCTGTGAGCAGCCCTAGCATTCATCAAACCACTCGGGGGAGCCCCAGGGCCTGCACGCAGAGCTGGGAGGAGCAAGGCTGCTGAGGGGCAGGCACTCGGTCATCTTGACATTGCATTCACTAAACACCCTCGGACCAGGCTCCCCGCTCAACTCTACATACGGTGCCTTATTTCCTTTGACTCTCCCAGCAACCCCATGAGGTAGGTACAGTTCTATTCCAGTTTTTATAGATGAGGAAATTGAGTCTTGGAGAAATAAAGCCTGTGCTGCCATCACTTAATCCTGGGTGGATAACATCTCTTCTTCAGACAGGTGTTCCTAGACCAAGGTCATCCTGCTGGTAAGTGGGGGTAAAGATGGACTGAACCCTTTTTACAACTTTGAAGCCACACCTGCCCATCCCCACATATTCATATTGGAAAACTCTTTCCAGAGGGTTATCATCTTCAGGCTTCTACAAACTATGCCAAGTCAGAGGAGCCGACCTGTGGGGGCTCCACGCAAAGATTACAGTCAGGTCTTCCCTTGGATGTAGCCAGAGACAGCTGAGAGCTGTCCCCTGGACCAGAATTCCATCATGAGAGGCTGGGGGATTGCCTTCTTTCCAGTGGGGGAGCCGAGGCCCAGAGAGCAGAATTCGTGTCCAAGGCCCCACCATGACTTTGTTTTTCGTTGTGGTTTGAGATGGAGTCTCGCTCTTGTTGCCCAGGCTGGAGTGCAATGGCACGATCTCAGCTCACTGCAACCTCCACCTCCTGGGTTCAGGTGATTCTCCTGCCTCAGCCTCCCGAATAGCTGGGATTACAGGCATGTGCCACCACGCCCAGCTAATTTTTGTATTTTTAGTAGAAATGGTGTTTCACCATGTTGGCCAGGCTGGTCTCGAACTCCTGGCCTCAAGTGATCCACCTGCCTCGGCCTCCCAAAGTGCTGGGATTACAGGTGTGAGCCACCACATCCAGCCCCCACCATGACTTTGCCTCTGTGGCCAATGTCATGTCCATGGCTGCACGGAGCTTCCTGAAAACACGGAGGCTGGTGGCAAGGACCCGCCTTGGAAAATGGGGAGAAAGCCAATCCCCCTAGATACATCCCCTGAGCCCTTGGGCTGGGAGAAGGGCATTGTGTAGCCTCTAAGGGAGACTACAAAGTAAGAAGGGATTGCTTCCATCTTGTCATTCCACCATCTGTGTCACAAACAGGCAGGTCAGGGGAGCAAACATGGCAGAGGGACATGGCCTAGGAGTCCTGTACTTCATTTTCCCTCACATTTCATTGTCTGTTACAGGTCACATGGTCTCACCTGGATGCAAAGGCCACTGGGAAATGTAGTCTTCCAGTGGGCCAGGAGTTGTGTACAATGAAATTAGCGAATATATAGCCTGTCTCTGCCACACTATTCAAAAACTCGTAGTCATGTCAGGGCCCAGAATGCCTTGAGATTGTTGCTCAGCACATGAGAGCATGAGGCTGGAGAAGTGGGCTGGCCCAGTGTGAGAAACACGGGTAAAACACGGGGTACCAATTTGCAATCTAGCCCCATGTGGTCCAGGTTCCTCACGTGCAGCCAGCCATGGCAGTAGAGGGACAAAATGATGCCGGAGCAAGAGACAGAGTCCCCCAGATGAATGTCAAGGGAAACCCAATAGCCCTGAAGACATCAAGGGGAGGCCACGCCAGCCAAGATTCCTGGCTCACTTTGCAGAAAAGAGGATGTAAGAGGGCACTGGGGAAGGAAAAGGGAGAACAGCGGAGAGGCGCCGACATGGGGCACGGGGAATTCTAGGGAAACTGGGCCTGGAGGGCTGGAAAAGTCTCTGCCACCAGCAGGGCAGCTTCATGGATGTGCAGCCTCCACAGTCACACAGAGCCCATCCTCACAAAGGCCCCACATTTGGCCCTAGCTGTCACTGTCTTGAAATTCTTAATCATTTTCCAAGAAGGGGCCCCATATTTTTATTTTGCACTGGGCCTCACAAATTACAAAGTCAGTCCTGAGTCCAGAAGGGATCAGTCTTGGTTCCAGATGGCCCCACCTCCAGGGCATGGCTGTGGCTGATGGTTATTTGCCAGCCTAGTGGGAGACCAAGACCACAGGAAATGGGTCTGGAAGATGATCGGCAGTAGTGGTCAGCTCAAGAGTGTTGATTTTTTGTTTTGTTTTTGTTTTTTGAGACGGAGTCTCAGTCTGTTGCCCAGGCTGGCTCACTGCTCAGCTCGCTGCAACCTCCGCCTCCTGGGTTCAAGCGATTCTCCTGCCTCAGCCTCCCAAGTAGCTGGGATTACATGCAGCTGCCACCAAGCTGGGCTAATTTTTGTATTTTTAGTAGAGACAGGGTTTCTCCATGTTGGCCAGAGCTGGTCTCGAACTCCTGACCACAAGTGATCCACCTGCCTTGGCCTCCTAAAGTGCTGGGATTACAGGCATGAGCCACGGTGCCCAGCCAAGTGTTTTTTTTTTTTTTTTTTTTTTTTAGAGACAGGATCTCACTTCGTTGCCCAGGCTGGTCTCGAACTCCTGGGCTCAAGTGATCCTTCCTCCTTGGCCTCCCAAAGTGCTGGGATTTCAGGCATGAGCCACTGCACCCAGCCAGCCCAGGAGTGTTTTGCTCCTTAATGTTCTCAGGTGTAAACATTCAGGAAGCAAAAACAAAACAAAACCAAAGGCCAGGAGCGGTGGCTGATGCCTGTAATCCCAGCTCTTTGGGAGGTTGAGGCGGGTGGATCTTGAGGTCAGGAGTTCGAGACCAGCCTGACCAACATGGTGAAACCCTATCTCTACTAAAAATACAAAAATTAGCCAGGTGTGGTGGCGCACGCCTGTAATCCCAGCTACTCAGGAGGCTGAGGCAGGAGAATTGCATGAACCCAGGAGACGGAGGTTGCAGTGAGCCGAGATCACGTCACTGCACTCCAGCCTGGGCAACAGAGCGAGACTCTGTCTAAAAAATAAAAAACAAAAACAAAAATAAATAAATAAACAAACATTCAGGAAGCACAGGTTTCAGACTCTCCTTGCTAAGGAGCAAGACTGGTCAGAAACAGGTGCTTACTGGTGAGAGATTTTTCACAAACAGAGAACGATGAACTCTGCACGTGACGTGATGTTGAGGATGGCAGATGGGTGGATGAAGTCCGTGCCCATATAGGAAAATGGGGACATCAGATTAAAGCAAGAGGGAGGCTAACCTCAGGGGACTCTACTTATATATATGTAGAAACACTTAAGGAGACCTGGACTTTTTTTTAAAGATAAGGTCTCTTAGCCCCATAATAGTGGAGGACTTCAACACCCCACTGACAGCATTAGACAGATCATCAAGGCAGAAAACTACCAAAGAATTTCTGGACTTAAACTCAGCACTTGACCAATTGGACCTATTAGACATCTATGGAAAACTCCACCCATCAGCCACAGAATATACATTCTTCTCATCCACACATGGAACATATTCCAAGATCAACCACATGCTCAGCCATAGAGCAAGTCTCAATACATTCAAAAAAATCAAAATCATACCAGCCATACTCTTGGACCACAGTAGAATGAAGACGGAAAATACTAAGAAGATTTCGGCTGGGTGTGGTGGCTCACTCCTGTAATCCTAGCACTTCGGGAGGCCAAGGCAGGTGGATCACTTGAGGTCAGGAGTTCGAGACCAGCCTGCCCAACATGGTGAAACCCTGTCTCAACTAAAAATACAAAAAAAAAAAAAATTAGCTAAGCATGGTGGCAGGTGCCTGTAATCCCAGCTACTCGGGAGGCTGAGGCAGGAGAATCACTTGAACCTGGGAGATGGAGGTTGCAGTGAGCCGAGATCATGCCACTGCACTCCAGCCTGGGTGACAGACCGAGACTCCGTCTCAAAAAAAAAAAAAAAAAAAAAAAATTAAGAAGATCTCTCAAAACCATACAATTACATGAAAATTAAATGACTTGCTCCTGAATGATTTTGGGGGTAAACAACAAAATAAAGGCACAAAATCAAAAAAATTCTTTGAAAGAAATGAAAACAGAGATACAAAATACCAAAATCTCTGGGATGCAGCAAAAGCAGTGTTAAGAGGAAAGCTGATGGTGCTCAATGCCTACCTCAAGAAGTTAGACCTCAGATTAACCATCTAATATCGCACATAGAGGAACTAGAAAAACAAGAACAAGCTAACCCAGAAGATAGCAGAAGAAAAGAAATAACTAAAATCAGAGTAGAACTTAATGAAATTGAGACACAAAAATTCATACAAAGAATCAGCAAAACCAAAAGTTGATTATTTGAAAGGATAAACAGGATCAGTAAACCGCTAGCTAGATTAACAAAGAAAGAGAGATCAAATAAGCAAAATCAGAAATAACAAATGTGTCACTTGTAATAAGGGACCCCACAATACAAAAGATCCTCAGAGACTATTATGAACACCTCTGCACACATAAACTAGAAAATCTAGAGGCAATAGATAAATTCCTGGAAACACACCATCTCCCAAGAGTGAATCAGGAAGAAACTGAAAGACTGAACAAATCAATATCATGTTCAGAAATTGAATCAGCACTGGCCAGGCGTGGTGGCTCATGCCTGTGATCCCAGCACTTTGGGGGGCCAAGGTGGGCAGATCATGAGGTCAGGAGATCGAGACCATCCTGGCTAACATGATGAAACCCCGTCTGTACTAAAAATACAAAAAATTAGCCAGGCGTGGTGGCAGGCGCCTGTAGTCCCAACTACTTGGGAGGCTGAGGCAGGAGAATGGCGTGAACCCGGGAGGCAGAGCTTGCAGTGAGCTGAGATTGCGCCACTGCACTCCAGCCTGGGTGACAGAGTGAGACTCCATCTCAAAAAAAAAAAAAAAAAAAAAAAAAGATATTGAATTGGTACTAAAAAACTTACCAGCCAAAAAATGCTTTGGACCAGTTATATTTACAGCCACATTCCACCAGATGTACAAGGAAGAGCTGCTACCAATTCTACTGAAACTATTCCAAAAAATCAGGTAGGAGGAACTCTTCTCTAACTCATTCTATGAAGCCAGCATCACCCTGACCTCAAAACCTGGCAAAGACACAGTGAAAAAAGAAAGCTTCAGGCCAATATCCCTGATGAACATAGACACAACAATCCTCAACAAAATACTAGCAAACTGAATTCAACAGCACATCAAAAAGTTGGCCGGGTGGTGGCTCATGCTGTAATCCCAGCACTTTGGGAGGCTGAGGTGGATAGATCACTAGAGGCCATAAGTTCGAGACCAGCCTGACCAACATGGCGAAACCCCATCTCTACTAAAAATACAAAAAAATTAGCCAGGTATGGTGGTGCATGTCTATAATCCCAGCTCCTCGGGAGGCTGAGGCAGGAGAATCACTTGAACCTGGAGGTGGAGGTTGCAGTGAGCCGAGATTGTGTCACTGCACTCTAGCCTGAATAACAGAGCGAGACTCTACCTCAAAAAAAAAAAAAAGATTAATTCACTATGATCAAGTAGGTTTCATTCCTGTGATGCAAGATTGGTTCAACATGCATGAATCAATAAATGTGATTCACCACATAAACAGAATTACAAACAAAAACCATCATCCCAATAGATGCAGAAAATGCTTTCAATAAACTCCAACATCCTTTCGTGATAAAAACCCTCAAGAAACTAGGCATCGAAGGAATGTACCTCAAAATAATAAGAGCCATCTATGACAAACCCACAGCCAACATCATACTGAATAGGCAAACACTGAAGCATTCCCCCTTGGAACAAGAAAAGCAATGCCGGCCGGGCACAGTGGCTCACACCTATAATCCCAGCACTCTGGGAGGCTGAGGCAAGTGGATGAACTGAGGTCAGGAGTTCAAGACCAGCCTGGCCAACATGGTGAAACCCCGTTTCCACTAAAAATACAGAAAATTAGCTGGGCGTGGTGGCAGATGCCTGTAATCTCAGCTACTCGGGAGGCAGGAGAATTGCTTGAACCCTGGAGGTGGAGGCTGCAGTGAACCGAGATTGTGCCACTGCATTCCAGCCTGGGCAACAAGAGCAAAACTCCGTCACACAAAAAAAAAGAAAAAAAGAAAAAAAAGCAATTCCATTATTGGGTATATATCCAAAAGGAAACAAAGTATTATACCAAAATGACATAGGCACTTGTGTGTGCATTGCGGCACTATTCACAATAGCAAAGACAAGGAATCAACGTAGGTGCCCATCAATGGTGGATTAGATAAAGAAATCATAGTACATATACATTGTGGAATACTACATAATCATAAAAAAGAATTAAATCATGTACTTTGCAGCAATACAGATCCAGCTGGAGGCCATTCACAAGTACATAAAACCATAAACATTGGGTACTGATATGGTTTGGCTCTGTGTCCTCACACAAATCTCATCTCGAATCGTAATCCCTGCTTGCCAAGGAGGGACCTGTAATCCCCACGTGTTGAGGGAGGGAAGGATTACCGGGGCAATTCCCCACCGCCCCGCCGTTCTCGTGATAGTGAGTGAATGTCGCGAGATTTGATGGTTTTAAAAGTGGAATTTTTTCCTGCTCTAGCTCTCACGCTCTCCTGCCATCTCTTGAAGGAGGTGTCTGCTTCTCCTTTTGCCTTCCGCCATGCTTGTAAGTTTCCTGAGGCCTCCCCAGCAAATAATGCGAAACTGTGAGTCAATTAAGCCTCTTTCCTTTATAAATTACCCAGTTTCAGGTATTTCTTTCTTGTTTTGTTTTTTTGAGATGGAGTTTCACTCTCATCGCCCAGGCTGGAGTGCAGTGGCGCGAACTCGGCTCACTGCAATATCCGCCTCCCGGGTTCAAACGATTCTCTTACCTCAGTCTCCCGAATAGCTGGGATTACAGGGGCCACCACCACGCCCAGCTAATTTTTGTATTTTTAGTAGAGACAGGGTTTCATCATGTTGGCCAGGTTGGTCTGGAACTCCTGACCTCAAGTGATCCACCCACCTCAGCCTCCCGAAGTGCTGGGATTACAGGCATGAGCCACCACGCCCGGCCTCAGGCATTTCTTTATAACAGTGTGAGAACAGACTAATACAGGTACTCAGGGACATAAAGATGGCAACAGTAGACACTGGGGACTACTAAGGGGGGAAGGGAGAGAAGGGGTCAAGGGTTGAAAAAACTAACTCTTGGGAACTATGCTCACCACCTGGCTGATGGGATCATTCATATCCCAAACCTCAGCATCACGCAATACACCCACGTAACAAACCTGCGTATGTACGCCCTACATCTAAAATAAAAGTTGAAAAAAAAAACGAGGTCTTGCTATGTTGCCCAGGCTGGAGTGCAGGGCCCATTCACAGATTGAATCATAGCGCACTGCAGCCTCAAACCGCTGGGCTCAAGGGACAAACCGCTGGGCTCAAGGGATCTTCCCACCTCAGCCTCCCGAGTAGCTGGGATTACAGGCGCGCATTGCTGCGCC